>NW_004166862.2:0-185823 GCF_000001405.40 Homo sapiens | reverse complement strand
GCCCAAACTGTTTTTAACTCACACACTTACATGTTCCAGCCATCGTGTTGAGCTTGCAAGAAATATCAAGCACAGTCTATCTGAGGAGTCAAAACGAACCCATTAAACCTTCAATAACAGCACAAGAGAGTAAGGGATACAAGAGTTTCCACAAGGCGACTTTAAAGAAAACGATAAATCCTGTTGTGAACCATCCGACATTGCAGAGGGGGTGTGTGAGCACAGCTGGGCTGGTGAGGGGCGGCTCCCGCCTTGCTTTGCCGGGGCTGCTCTTGGGACACTGAGCGGGTCTGGCTGTGCTGCCATCTGTCCTGTCGGGAACAGGTCTGACACGTCCACCCAAGAACTGTTGGCTTCTTGTCTATTTTTAAAAGCTAAAGCAATTTCTTTGATCTTCCTACCACCACAGCCCTGCTTCGGGATGGGAAAGGTAAAAGTTGCTCTCCCCACTGTAAAGACGAAGAAAGTGGGATGTGGAAAGGTGATAACCCTGCACACAGCACAGTCAGAGTCAAGACTCAGGACAATCTCCCACCCTGCTCCTGTCCCCTTATAGCAATGGTACTTGGAGCTCAGAAGGAGGAGAGGAAGCTGCGGCTTGGAGACCGTTCAGAGGCAGCCGTGGAAAATCCCGGCTTGAGCTGGACTGGGCAGCTGGCGAGTGCCGGGGCAGAAAAGCGCGCAGGCCGGGCCAGTGGGGGAGCACACGCAGCTGCACACAGGACAGAAGGCCCACGCATCTCAAGATGCGCACATGCATTCGGTTTCTTCCTGCATAAAGTCACTGACTAGGTAAATCTGCCATGTTTAGTCATCACCAGCTGCATCAGTGCTGCAGAGTTTGGCCTACATATGCGTTCTATCACCCAGGAGACTTGGATAGAGATGCTGGCTCCGTCGTGGCAACTTCACACTGCAGGATTGAAATCACAGGGGTTCTTCACAGAAGGGTGCAGGGGTCTGGGTGTGAGCAAGGCTGAGAGGCCAGAGCCACGGCCTCCAGGGCTGCACAGCCTGTGCAACTCACTCTGGCCATTTGTGCTTAGGCCAGCAATAACCTCCCTCGGCAGAGGGACATCAATCTTGTTTTAATATGCCATGAATCTTTTGTTATTCCTGACTGTTGACTAGACATAGATTATTGCCATATTATATGCCATATTGCAAATAACAATAAATAACCAGGCTCTATCACTGTGGTGAAATGCAAATCCTAGATTTAAAACTGTTTTTCAACATAAAGTCATGGGAATGGAAGTTCAAGCGCCAAAACAAAGTTATATAACAGGAATAATAAATTAAAGATGTCAAGCAGCAGATGCGGAGAGAGAAAGCACACACACTCACTTACGCCTGCTGGAGCCACAAAAGCTAAGGCCGCTGCCACAGTTTATTTGAAATGTATAAGCACGTATAACTCCCAAACCTGGCAAATCACTGCTTAGGCATTTTGACAAGCATTTAGATAAACAGAAAGAATTAGCTGTTGTAGTTCATTTTTTTAATAACTGGCTCAACAAACAAAAGAAAAATACTGAAAGTTTCACAGCTGAGGCTGCAGGAATTAGGGCAGTAACAGTGCTCACAATTGTCAGGTTCTGTGACTCAGAGGAATCATAACACTGAAAGCAATCCATGGACTAAGTGCCAAGAAATATGCAGTAACTTTCACTGCTCCTTTGCTCTAATACATACATCTCATAGCTGCTTTGAAGGGATGTATTCCTTATTTTCATGTTTCATGAAATTTTATAATTGTTAAAGTTTTCTAATCCCTGCCCTGACATTACTGGCTGTTTGATCTTGGGCAATTTAGTTCCTTTCTCAAAGCCTCTCTTTGCTGATTTCTAAGATGAAATAATAGTGTCCACCTTATAAAAATACCATGAGCATTTATAGAAACGATGCATTTAACACCATCTCGGTATGGGGCTTTCCAGTTAGAAGATCTTTACCAATTCAGCTTTTATTGTTTACAGTTTATGGTGTCATGTATGATCTGCTTTCTTCGTTAGCTACTCACTTTTGTTAAGTTATAAATTACGCTTTTCTATGTGACGTAAGCCAGGATAAAGGGAACCCAGAGCATTGCGGTGGGAAGTGGATATATTCTAACTTTAAAGAAAATGACCAGACTTGGGAGTGAGGGTGTGATCTGGTGTGGGGTCCTGATTAGGAAAAGGAGCCAGGCTAGGGGGAGCAGGGAAAGCAAAAAGACAAAGCAGATAAACTACAAATCTGCCTTTCTTCATGGTCCAGGACACACAGCCCTCCTGCGCAAATAGCCCATCTAACACACAATCTCCCTATGCCTGACTTACCAGCAGACACCTCAGCTGACAGAAAAATGCAGGTTCGCTCACTGCAATCTTAGTGTTACCAGTACTGCACGTATTCCTCTCCAGCACAAGCACCATCCTGTAAAATACCCAGCAAGCTTTTGTCTCCTGGAACTCAGCTCCTTTCTTGCTGATCTACCCATTGCATCCTTGCAACATATTTTCATACTTTCTTTAACAAATCCACCTTCCTTTACCTTGTAGGTAAAGGTAAACTGCCTTTGTAAATCCCTTTACTGTATGCACCACTGCCCCCAGTTAGTCACTACCCACAACACTCGATCCTTCTGTTTAGGAAGCCTGGAGAGTGATGCACATGGATATCTGGAAGCACATTCTAGGTAGAAATGATGGCAACTTCAAATTCATGCTTGTTGTTAAAGTGATAGGAAGGAGGACCACCTGGCCAGGCCACGAAAACAACAACAGGCAGGTGCATAGCAAGAAAATAAGTGCCCTAGCAGGAAGCAGATGGCACATTCAAAAGAGAAGTATGGAGGTGTGATCAGTTAAGCAAACCATTCCAAACCCTTGGCCTGAAGCAAGGCGAGGTATAACCATGGAGCCCCGCAAGAGCCTGCCTGGGCTGTAGGGAGCCCACTGGACAGGATCTGTGGACACAAAGAAGAGCAACCCTTGCCAACACCTGGCCGAGGAGAAGGGAGAAAGAGAGACTTCCCCAGCTTCACCCTTCTCCCACATCCTGACTTCCTCCTGGTGTTTCCAGTTCTAAAGCCAGCTGAAAACGGAAAGCAAGGAGCCTGCACCTAAAGGTCATGAGGTTCAGCCTCCTGGCACGTAGCAGTGGGGAAGAACGGAGAGCTCTCTGAGACTGGCGGACAGGACACGGCCAGCATTAGATAGAGAAGGAGAGGTTGTGGGATGTATTACACGAGATCTTGAAAACCCTGCAAGAGATTTCACCCTGATGGAGTGGGAAGCCGTAGGAGACACAGTCAGGAGAGGGACTGCATCCGACTCAGACTTAACAAGGTCCTTCTGGCTGATGTGTTGAAAAGGGCAGAAGAGAGAAACCGGTGAAGCAGGATCATATTAGGAGGCTGCTACCATCATCAAATGAGAGGGACAACAGCCTAAGAAGATGGCTAGCTGGAATAATGCAAAGGAGAGGTTAGATTCTTGATATGCTCTGACGGTAGCACCAACTGGACTTGCCAATGATTGGATCTGAGTAATGAGATAAGGAGAGGCATCAAAAGGCGACTCCAGGATCTCTGACTGGAGTGGCTGGAAGGGAGAAGTCATCACTAACAAATGTGAGGGATCTGCAGGAGGAACTAGCGTGCAGGGAAGATGGAAAGTGGTTTGGACATGTTGAGTTTGAGGTGTTCACGTAGCAAAATAGAGACTTTAATGAAGCAAGCTGATACAAGCCTGAAGTTCAAGAAAGAGGTTAAGTCTCAATATATTAATTTAGGAATACTCAGCAAGACAGAACCTAGATTCCTACAGTCACAGAGCACATATGCATATGTGTAAGTGTGTATGCCCAGCACAACGTCAGCTCTACATAAATCTTTGATATTATTTTTATTCTTAATTCTTCTTCTTTCCCTTCAGTACACTCAATTAGGATTTATACACTATTTTTTGTTTTGCTAAAATAAACCCTGACATTCTGTGAGACTATAGCTTTAGCAGAATTTCTGACCTGTTCAAGCTGATATAGACCTGTTTCTTCCTGCTCACACCAATAACTATGACTAGAAACTCTGAAAATACTGCAAGAAACAACCAAAGGAGAACTCTGAATGGTGGCTGGATAAAGGTGAAAATGGTTTGGTACCTAAGGACTAAAAAAGAGGAAAACATGAGCACAGTGGCAGGGCATCTGATATACCCCTACCCATACAAGAAGGAGACCCAGAGGCGTCATTTCCAGACCCTCAACCAATGGCAGAACCAAGCCCAGGTAGATGTGCAAGTGATAAACATCATTATTACAAACATTTTCTCAGGCTGTTATCTTTTTATCTTGGATGCTTTTCCTTAGAGATGCTTTACAATGGAATGTTGTTCTAATCTGTGGATCACTGACTTTCCATGCCGTGGTGGTTTTGAAAACTTTAGTCGTATTTAGACATGCTTTTCTCATTGCACAGATTAGCTGAGTTAATGTGTGCACAACTAACGGGGGAAGGACGATTCGAGCTGAATCCCACAGCGCAACACACACCTGTAGGTAATGAAAACAAAGAAAAAACATCTTGAAATTGGCCAGAAAGAAACCCATTACCTATAGGTGAACAGCAGTTAAAATATAAAGGATTTATCACCTGAAATAATGAAAGCCAGAAAGAAGCAGCCCAATATTTTTTTCTTGTTTTTCCCATACCATTTAACTGCTGAATGAAAAGAACTTTCAACTCCAAATAAAGACATACTCAGATGAAAGAAAAGTAGAAAGAAAATTGTTGCTCGCAGAAACAGAGATAAGCCCTAATATATCAATAATTATATAAAATGAAAATGGCCTAAATACATCAATCAAAATACACAGATTGGCAGAGTAAATAAAGAAAATACCACTCACCTATATGCACCTTATTAGAAACTCACTTCACATTCAATTATATGGCTCGTTTGAAAGGAGGAGGATGAACAAAGACAGACCATGCAGCATTAATCTAAAAATCAGAAGTGACTCTATTAATATCTAATAAAGTCGACTTCAGAGCAAAGGAAATTACTAGAGACAAAGAGGGACAGTACAAAAATGATAAAAAGATAAATCTACCAGGAAGTTATAATAATTCTAAATGTATATGCACCAAACAACAGCACCTTAAAATACATGAATCAACAACTGAAAGGAGAAATAGACCAATCAAACATTATGGTTGTAGATTTTAATACCTCTCTCTCAGCAACTGAAAAATAAGCAGAAAAACAGCCAGGATATATAGGATCTGAATAACACAGTCAATTAACAGTATCTAATTGACATAAGCAATACATTGCCTATGACAACAGCAGGATATACATGTTTACAGGTGTCCACGGAACATTCACTAAGATAGACCACATCCTGAGACATAAAACAAACTTCAATACATTTAAAAATTGTAGTCATATAGTCTATTATCTGACATAATGAAAGCGAACTAGAAATCAATCACTAAAAATCAACAGGAAAATATTTAAACATAAGGAAATTAAGCAACAGACTTTTAAATAATCCACGTGTCAAGAAAAAGTCTCCAAAAGTTTAAGAAACACATAGAATAGAATGAAAATGAAAACACAGCATTTCAAAATATGTGCAGCAGCTAAAGCAGTGCTAAGAGGGAAATCTATAACATGAATTGCTTATACTACAAAACAGTAACGGTCTCAAATCAATTATCTAAGTGAGTGCCTCAAAAAAGTAGAAAAGTAGAACAAAATAAACTAAAATCAAGTAGATAGAAGGAAATAATAGGGAGCAAAATCTGTGAAACTGAAATAGAAATTTAATAGAAAAAATTAACAAAACCTAAAGCTGTTTCTTCAAAAAAAAAATCAACAAAGTTAATAGACTCTAGCAATACTGACAAAAGAAAAAAGAGAAGATACAAACCAGAAATATCAGGAGTGAAATAAGTGATATCACTACAGATCCTACCATGATCTAAATAAAATAAAGGACTGCAACAACCAATTTATGTTCATAAATTTGACACTTGGAAGAAATAAACCAATTCCTTGAAAATCACAAACTGAAAAATCTCAACCAAGATGAAATAGATAATTGGAAGAGTTTTATAAACATTAAAGACATCGAAGCCTAACTAAAAATCTCCCAAAAAGAGATTTTCAGGCCCACATGATTTCACTGGAGGATTCTAACAGACATTTAAAGAAGAGCTAACAGCAATTTTATACAACCTCTTCCAGAAAATAAAGAGGGGAAAACTTTTCAACTTATTTTATAAGCTCAGAATTATCCTGATACCAAAACCACCAAAGAAAATACAAGAAAAGAAATCTATAACTTAAACCTTTTCAAGAGGAAGACTAGACTTTGGCATTAGGAAATTTTCATTTCACTAACCATTCTTCCAATTTATTTGCAATTGTTTCCTTGTATTTTAGTTGCATATCTTTTAAAATCCCAAGATATATTATTTTATTATTATTTATATCATTATGGTTGTTTACATTTAGTCACATAATTATCACTCTCTTTTCTCTTACTTGTTTGTAGGATTATTTTCTCCTTACTGAAATCCTTCAAAATAATCATTTAGCACTATATTTAATAATAATGTTCTCCCTATAGGTGACTCAGTTTTTTGTTATCTAAAATGTCTTTATATTGCTATAATTCTTGAAGCTAATTTTGCTAGGTACACCATCTTCAGTTGGTACTTCTTTTCTTACAGTGCTTGGAAAAGGTTATTCTTCTGTCTCCTAATTCTCATTGTTTCTGTTCACTAATCTTCAGGCAGTTGAATTATTTCATTAGAGATGTTTCTCATGTCTCTGTAGCTGCATTTAAGATCTTCTCTTTGTTTTTGCTGTTCTGAAGTTTTATTAGAATATGCATAAGTGTGGATTTTTTTATTTTCTTAGTATTAGTTCTTCCATAATATGGCTTTCATGCCATTCCCTTTACTCTTTCATCTGTGGCACAGCTTAAACTTAAGCTAGAGTTTTTCAATTGACTTTTTATATATCTTAACCTCTTTTATATTTACCATCTCATTATATTTCTGGGTATCTCTGTGTAATTTCTTCAGAGAAATCTTCTATTTTACTTCTCTCGTCATTCATTTTAACAACTATTGAGTTTTTAATTCACTGATTTTTTTTATTTCTAAAAGTTATCTATTCTAATTATGTCTGGTTATTTTTAATATTCTCTTTCCTTGGGCTCATTTTTGGTTTGCTTTCTGTGACTCTCATTCCTGGTGCCACTCTTTCAGGTTTTTCTGGTAATTTTTAATCGTTAGCTTCTTTGTGGTTCGCCCTGCTACACAGACATACAAAATGGGCCAAAGAAATGCTCTTCTTCAGAGAGGATTTGCATTTGCTTCTGTTAGAAACCAGGGAATACCGTTAGTTTAGGAGCACTCTGGGTGCTAGGAATCTTCAAGGAGCTCTGACATAAGTCTCTGGTGCTAGGACGTGCAGGGTAGTGGCCGTCTTCACTCAAGCCTCAGCTGGGCTCATACACATCCAAATGTATCTGAAAGATTGATGGGAGGCGCCTGCTAAAATCTTGTTTGAAAAAGAATCTAGGAGCCTCCTGGGAAAGAACTTATCCCAAAGGAAATAAAAGCAGGAGTGATAACTGCCAGTCAGTGGGTCTAGGTGGTCAGGGGTAGAGGACTGTCAGTGGAGAGCACTGTCTGTCATCCACCCATCTCCCCTTGTCCAGCCCCAGCTGGCCCCTGCATGTCTCTCGTGGAAGTGGAAGTGCAGCAGGACCCAGGCCTGGGCAGCTGTGATGCAGATTGCATTCTTGCAGGTGTTAAAACTGTGCATCTGGATATACAGCTCAGACAGCCTCTGCCGTCACCCCAGAGGTTCAGTCACCACTCCAGCTCTCACCCCTCAGTGAAGGTGTTGCTGCCCATGCTCAGTAGGACATTGAGCTTTTCAAGAGGACCTCAGATATCCTTCCACAGTGTAGATACAAATACTCTGTCCTCAGTCAAGGCCTGCTGCATATCGGGAGCAGTACAGTCTGGTGCTTTGGACCAGGGGTCAGCACACTTTTCCTTTAAAGGACCAAAATATGTATTTTAGGCTTTGCGGTCTTGCTTGCAATTATTCAACTCAGCGGCTACAGCTTTGCAAGCAGCTACAGACAATGTCTATGTGGAGTGAATGCCTGTGGCTGTGTGCCAGTAAAACTATTGACCGAAACATTTGTGGGGTGGGCGGCAATGACCACAGGCGCCAGCCCCTAGTTTAGGGGCAGATTCAGGAGCTGCCCTGCTGGGTTCACCCGATGCCTCCCAGTCTGTTGCTGTCCCGTGGGTGACTTTGTTCCTCTGTGGCTCGGTGTCCCTGTCAGCAGCACGTGCTTAAGAGCCGCACCTGCCTCCTTGGGTTCTCCTGAGGTCTGAAGGGTGCAGGACAGTCATGGTGAACAGCATGCTGTGTCCAGTCCCATCAGTCCCTACGTCTGAGGTCTTAAGCAGCCCACTTCACTTCTCTGAATCTCAGCTTCTTCTGCATAATGAAGAAAACAACAGTAACTTTCTCAAAATCGTGGGGGAAACCATGGCCACAGCACGTACTACTGCGCCTGGAATACAGATCTTTACACTTTTGTCACAATGAATGGGAGGAGGAAGAGTGAGACCGCCAGGCACAGAGCTCAGGTGTGTTCCTGGAGAGGATGGACATGCCTGTGAGCCGAAGGAAAGCGAGGAACTGGTGGGCGGTGCCTGGGCTGCTGGGGTGTCTTGGCCTTCCCGGCCTAGGTCACAGGGCGGCATGTCTCAGCCAGCGGGAGGAGCCTCAGGCATCGCTTAGGAGCCTCTGTGCGTCCACGTGGCCTTAGTGCTACTGGCGGGAGGCCCACTCCTCTGGTCCCCAGGGCCATGAATCTGACCCACAGGGAGGCCAGCCGGCACACAGCATGGTGCAGGGTTTCTCTAAGGGACAAGGTGTCAGATGGAGACCGTGGGGTGCAGAGCTACAAGAGCTGAGGGACGACTGAGTGAGCAGGAGGAACATGCACTCCAGACCCCTTGGCCAGCAGAAGGCACTGCCTCCTTGACAGTACACACAGCCAAGAATCGGGGACTGGGAGGAAAAGACATGACTTCAGGAACCACACGAGGCAGTCTGCACCTTGGGTGTTCCCACCATCCCCCATCCACCACAGGAGGGCTGACTGCACACCTGACCCCGTGCACCTGGTGTTCCCACCACCTTCCATCACAGGAGGGCTGACTGCACACCCCAGACCCCGTGTACCTGGTGTTCCCACCACCTTCCATCACAGGAGAGCTGACTGCACACCTGACCCCGTGTACCTGGTGTTCCCACCACCTTCCATCACAGGAGGGCTGACTGCACACCTGACCCCGTGTACCTGGTGTTCCCACCACCTTCCATCACAGGAGGGCTGACTGCACACCTGACCCCGTGTACCTGGTGTTCCCACCACCTTCCATCACAGGAGGGCTGATGGGACACCTGACCCCGTGTACCTGGTGTTCCCACCACCTTCCATCACAGGAGGGCTGACTGCACACCTGACCCCGTGTACCTGGTGTTCCCACCACCTTCCATCACAGGAGGGCTGACGGCACACCTGACCCCGTGTACCTGGTGTTCCCACCACCTTCCATCACAGGAGGGCTGACGGCACACCTGACCCCGTGTACCTGGTGTTCCCACCACCTTCCATCACAGGAGGGCTGATGGGACACCTGACCCCGTGTACCTGGTGTTCCCACCACCTTCCATCACAGGAGGGCTGAGTGCACACCCCAGACCCTGTGCACCTGGTGTTCCCACCACACTCCATCACAAGAGAGCTGACTGCACACCCCAGACCCCGTGTACCTGGTGTTCCCACCACCTTCCATCACAGGAGGGCTGAGTGCACACCTGACCCCGTGTACCTGGTGTTCCCACCACCTTCCATCACAGGAGGGCTGACTGCACACCTGACCCCGTGTACCTGGTGTTCCCATCACCTTCCATCACAGGAGGGCTGACTGCACACCGCAGACCCTGTGCACCGGGCAGCCCCGCAGTGGCATACATAGTGAGGAATAACGGAGGGCATTTAAGGGACTGCGTTATATTTTAAACTGCATAGAAAAAAGGGATTTTAAAATGTACTCCAGCCCCTAAGGGAAGCCTTTTGATAAATATCAATTTAGTTCTAAGCTCAATACGGGGGCTCTGTAGTCCCTGTTCCTCCAAACTCTGTAAAATGTGTGCTTCTGCTTCTCCAATGGCACCAACACTTGAGAGGCCATCCAGGCACAAGTGTACAGCCTTGGTTTCCTCTGATAGTGCCTGACCCAGAGAGATGAGGGAGGCAAGGGAGGTCTCCACTCTCACGTCCAGCCAGGCAGCCTTCTGCTCTGGAATCTGGGGAATTGTGCCAGTGCAGATAGGAGTTATGGCTCCATAGCTAGTTGGCTCAAACTGTTTCCAAGTCTGTGTGAGAGAGTCATCTTGCAGAGGGCCAAGATGTCTTCAACTCCCGTACAATCTGGGCTTTTATTGTTAGCCTGACCCTGTCTCTTTATTCACAGGTTAATGAGGCATCCTGGGTTATCCTGATGCTGTGATTTTATAATTGTGTGTATGTGTGTGTGTGTGTTATAGAATCCTTACTTCAAACACAAATGGAAGCCCAATGTATAAAAACAGATCCAGTACTTTGCTTCCCTCTCTCCTTGCTGTCCCTTCCTCCACCCTCTTCAGTGGCTCTCAGAGGAGCAGTGTGTAAGGCACACGGTCTCTTGACCATGGATGAGAACCATGACCCCAGCATGATGTTATCCAGTGGAGGGCAGGACGTGTCACCAATGGCAGCCACAGGAAGTGTCAGGGCATCCCTGTTATGCCCAGTAGGATCTGCCCAGAGCTTCAACTCCAAATACAAAGTGTGTCTTCTCATCCAGTGGGGTTTAAGTTGCATTTCTATAACCACAAATATATAACAAACCTGCAAAGGCAACTCAAAAAGGGATAGAGACCGAGACAGAGAAAACCAGAACAGCACAGAGCCACCTTCTTCAGGGAAAACTGCAGAGAAGAAAAGGTTCCCCATCATGAAACTGATTAAAAAGCTGCTCCTTCAACACCACACTTGGAAAGTGTGCAGGAGCCATCGCCAAGGATGTTCTGTCATTTCTGGTAAGAGAAACAGCAGGCAAAGCAGCCCAAACCGTAAATACCAGACACATGCTTTTACAGCTACTTTCTGACACGGGTATGTGTCATTGAGATGGGCACAGCATAGGTGGGTATTAAACAGGGTGGGTGCATTGGACACCATTGAGATGGACATGTCATAGGTGGGTATTAAGCAGGGTGCGTGCATTGGATACAGTTCTGATTCCACTGTGCCTCTGGGTGCATTGGATACAGTTCCGATTCCACTGTGCACGTGGGTGCATTGGATACAGTTCCGATTCCACTGTGCACGTGGGTGCATTGGATACAGTTCCGATTCCACTGTGCGTGTGGGTGCATTGGATACAGTTCCGATTCCACTGTGCATGACCCATCAAGGCTTGGGGCACAGAATCCTTCCACACATTTTTCATGAGAAACCAAGACTAAGTGGATTATGCCCAATTACCACAAATATGTGCTTAACGGGAACATGTTTAAGTGGCACAAATACCAAGCTAAGTAGTGCCTTCCTGCGGTGTTTATAGGAATGGGGTCAAAACAGGCTAGGACTGCACTGCAGAGGACCAACATGAGTGACAACAGTCACCTCACACATGAAAAGCAGTTCACGCGTTTTATTTATTAATAGTCGTCTCCGAATGCTGCGTGCGTTTACTTTTCAGGAGAACTTTTCCATGGCTTTCCCACACTCCCTGACAGCACGAGCCGGGTTTTTCTTCTTTGCAGAGCTGCACGCCTGGTGGAGAGGACATAGCAGGCACCTGGTAAACATGGATCAGACGCCCCATGAGAGGATCCAACCCATCAGCACTGATGACGATTTAGGCTTTGTCACTGGAAGTTTGTAAAACCCCAGTTTTAATGAAATCTTGGGCTTCTCCTGAATGAAATGGGTGAAAGTCTGAATCCACCAAGACTTTTGGTTAAAGCTAAACAAGGACAGGAGCCCCGAGTTTATTTGTAAATAGTGGAGAACACTCTCCTGGGATAAAGGGCAGAGAGAAAAATGAGACCACGAGGCAAGAAAGTGTGGAAAGCGTTGTTGCCACCTCTGCTTCTCTTCCTGCTGGTCTCTCCACATTCTGCTCATTAACAGACCTTCCTTCACCACCGCTGGGTGCTTCATCCTCAGGGTCACTCGCAGAGGCTGCCAGCTGTACCAGGCACCAGGCAAGGATCCCTAGGGTCAGTCACAGATGTTGCCAGCTGCAGCTGGGCACCAGGCAAGGAAGAGCTGCTGGCCAAAGACCCTGGCACTCAGCAGTGAACGGCTCCCACTGATGGCTGGGTCTCCACCTCCTTTGCTGTAACTCTGTCAGTTACATGGGAATTCAGAATGAAAGGAAAACTACCAGCAGGATGAGAGGTTAGAATGGCTTCTCAGGATTGATTGATTTTGCCTTGAACCTATAAAAGGTCATTTTAATGCCAGGTCACTTAACTCTTCTGGAGGACGGTCAAACTCTCTGCAAGCTCTGGACAGGAGAGAGAGAATAATGCTGTCCACTCAGGTCATGTTGACATTTACCAAGTGAGAAATAGCCTCCTGTTTCTCAGTAGGGAACATACGTTTAACTCTTCGCTGGGCAAATCACACCCGAGTGAAATGTGGCTCTGTGTCTTGGGCCCCTGGCATCTGAACACTAGTTTGTGACACTCTCCCACAGCTGCGCCTTTGCTGACCCTCTCTTACAGCGGAGGTGAGACAGCTGTTTTCGTGTGATGGATTTATTAACAAAGAAGTGAACCCATCCCGCGTCATGGGTGAACGTGTCCAGCATCCTGGGGCCCAGCGGCTGTGGGCATAAGCCCTCCTGATCCTCAGCTTTCATGAGTACAAGTCCCATCTCGAGTTTCTCAACAGCCAATTATGGATTTTCTCTTTTCCTCCAACAAACCAGATATTATCGAATCATAAGATGACAAGATATGTTAGAATTTTCATGCAGTTACATCAGAACTTTTTAACCAGTTGGCTTATAAAATAATCTATTTTAAAATCCAGACTTTTTAAAATATAAAGCTTGGCTTTATATTCTGTTTAGTGGATGCAAAGGATCTTAAGTTACGGGCTTTCTTTTAGAAAATATTTAGTGTATGTTGGGAATAATATCAGCTCCTGAGTCAGACAGACCTGGTGTAAAGCACAGCCCTGCCACTGACTAACTGTGCATCAGACAACTTAGTTTATTACTGAGCTTCAATTTTCCTGTGTGCAAAAAGGAAGTAACAAAGTCTACCTTAGAGAAGCATTTCTTATGTTCTGAACAGATGTTTCCTTTTACTGCAATCCAGAAGATCTTAATTCGGAACTGAGAATCAGAATTACCTGGAGCACTTGTAAAAATGCAGAATCCTTAATTTCCTTGCTAACCTGAGTTTTTAAAGAGGAAATTAATGTAAGCAAAAAAATATTTTCAGAGTAAGTGGGCCGGGCGCAGTGGGTCACGCCTGTAATCCCAGCACTTTGGGAGGCGGAGTCAGGTGGATAGCTTGAGTCCAGGAGGTTGAGGCTACAGTGAGCTGTGATTGCGCCACTGCATTCTAGCCCGGGCGACAAAGCCAGGCTCTGTCATCTTAAAGTAAAAAAAAAAAAAAAAAAAAAAAAAAAAAGAATAAATAAACTTGTAAAGAAGTGTTCGGCCTTATTATCAAGATGTTGAGGTACCATTTTATCTTTTTTGTTTCTGTTTTTGAGAGAGTCTTGCTCTGTTGCCCAGGCTGGAGCACAGTGGCGCGACGTCGGCTCACTGCAACCTCTGCCTCCCATTTTGAAGCAATTCTTCTGCCTCAGCCTCCCCAATAGCTGAGACTACAGGCGCAGGCCTCCACGCCTGGGTAATTTTTGTATTTTTAGTAGAGACGGGGTTTCACCATGTTGGGCAGGCTGGTCTAGAACTCCTGACCTCATGTGATCCACCTGCCTCGGCCTCCCAAAGTGCTGAGATTACAGGCGTGAGCCACCGTGCCCAGCTCCACTTTATCTTAAATAAGTCACTGTACTGTAGTAACCAACATTGTTGCAATCTGGTAGACATCCGTGTTAAGTTCTTTCAATGATTTGAGCAAATTGGACCTTCCAGCATTTAACTTCAGACATCTCTTCAGTCCTGGCCCTGCCGGAGGCCAGCTGCTCAGGTGGCCGGCCCCACTGCTGGGGAATGAGTGAGGTGCCCACAGAGAGGGTGTCTCGGATACTGGATGTGGAATGCATCTGTACTGCCAGGCATGCAGTAGGCATGCAGTGAGTCATGATTTAATTACAGGATTATTTAAACTGAAGTTTCCCAATCCTTCCAAAGAGCCCCTCCCGACTTGCTCAGGCTCAGCTCTCTAAGGGCTGAGGGGGTGAGAAACGAAAATGACACTGAGAGCCTGGACCCTATCTCCACGCTATACTGCAGGTCTTAGGACTCCGGAGATGACTTTTCCGGAGAGAAATCACGTTCTTCCCAAACTTCTGATCCCTCAACATCACTACATGTATGATTTCTATTAAAGCAATGCCCTGATTGAAATTCCTTACGTCTTTTTAAACGTCTGGAACACTGTGACGTTTGCTGCATCAAACGAAGGGTGCATCAGCCACTGTGTCAAATACATGGATAAAAACTGTTCAAACATGTTAAGACATAAACACTGCAAAGGCTCTGAAAAAAGTGGAGAGACACAGAGCCAGATAAATAATAGTAGATACTTTTGAAAAATATGAGCTTGAAATTAAAAAGCAGTGCAGGCACAGACCCCCTCGCAAATCGCACGTGTGAGAGCTGGTGCAAGATTACTGTGGTTCCCAGGAACCTGTCCAAGACCT
The DNA here is from genome assembly GCF_000001405.40 of Homo sapiens. Classification (NCBI taxonomy): domain Eukaryota; kingdom Metazoa; phylum Chordata; class Mammalia; order Primates; family Hominidae; genus Homo; species Homo sapiens. The sequence continues at coordinate 170,826 of NW_004166862.2, read as the reverse complement.
CCAAACCATCTACACTAAAGAAGATAAGCCCAAGAAGGCAGCTAAGCATTGGCCCTGTTTCTGTTCCTAGCTTCTAACTGCAGATTTTACTTTGGTGTTGGAATACTTTTTCCTTTGTTATTCAGTTTTTATCAGGACCTGCCTCATTACAGGATCACACACTTTTTAATGAATCTGGGTTCATCTATATCCTGTTTCTTTCCTTCTTCATTTCATAAATGTTTGCATTAATACATATTCATTGGACACTTACTCTGTTTGGTTATTTCTTTAGCTATTTGGGGGCAAAATGAATTAGACATAATCCCTGCCCTCAAGAAATTTCCAGTCGCCCACTCACAGGATCACCGACCTCTCTTCATTTTCATCTACAGGAAGATTTCCTCTTCCTTTCTCCTTCCTTGGCACCATCTTCTTCCCTTCCCTCTGCCTCTAAGTCATGAGCATAAACTCTTTACCAGGCCTAGTCTTAGGCTGAAACCACAAGTTATTTTCTGTCTTGAAAACAAACAAAAAACAAAAAAAACCCTCTAAATCAATAAATCACAAAGGGCTTCTATTCCTATCTGAAACAAAGAGAAAATACTATAAAGAAAGAATGCAAATTTACATTTTATATGTTTTTTCTGCCAAACCAATTTGCCTGAATTTGAGGCAGAAACTGTGGTGTCTGAGTCTGTGAAAACCCTGGATTTTCAGAAAGAGGAAATGCTCTGCCGACAGCCAGATCTTGCTGTTCCTAATTGAGGACCAGCCAGGCTCAGAGGGCAGCAGCGATGCTGAGCTGAGACCACACCGCGGCAGGGCCTGGAGCAGGAGGGAGGCAAACCCACCACACATCAGACACCACCCTGCAGCCCCCTTGGACTAACAGGGACGCCTGACACTTCATCCGTGGCCACGCGCGCCCCTCTTGAATCTCCCCTCTCAGGACGAAATGCATGAAGATATCTTCACCCATCAAGCATTGGCTCCCCTCTCCTTAATCTCTCCTTGGGATCACCTAGCACAAGCCCCTATCCTATCAGAAGCCCCTCTTAACTCCCCCTTATTGAAAGGGTTTCCTGGTTCATTTTAATTCCACTCTTCCTTGTCTCAGAAAGTTAAATAAATTTAATTTTTTGGACACAAGAGTTTCTGGTGTCTGTGGATGAAGAATGTGAGTGTAATTGGAACCTGATAGCCAGTTTGCTATTGGGCAATACCAAGAAATCCAAATCTGTTTGGTTCTTGAGTTCAGACAGTGAAAGAGTTTGGCAAGCCAGGGGTACCTGTCACCGTTCCTCCGATCTTTACACATCTAACCCCACTGCCTCCAGGATGCAACAACCAATACAATTTCATGCCAACCTGATCACTGCTGCTCGCTGCTTGCTGCTTTTTGAGTTAGCGCCTTTCTTTCTGAAAGCAGTTGGAATTTTGTTCCTTCCCTCTGGCTCCCTAACTTCATCCTGGATGCTTTGAAATTCACAAGACTATACACAGGCGTGTGCTATGACATGTACATACTGCCCGTCACTTACTGATCCCCGAAGGCCTGTGCCTTCCTTCAGCACCAGGGAGTGACCTCCTGAAGCATGCTGGGCACAGACACCCTCAGTAAAAAACGTGAGACAGAGTTGACAGCACCCGCTGGGGTGTCAGGTTGCCTGGTTTTAAATCCCGGCTCCACCACTAAGGACTGTGGGATCCAAGACCTCTTAGTTAAATGCGCCATGCCTCAGTTTCCCTATCTGTAGAAGGAAGATAACAGAACCAACCTAATTTGGAGAAGTATAGTTCTCAAGTGCCTGGGAGCCAGGAAGCCTTAACAGGTGTTACTGGCTGATATTATCACCAACTCCTCGTTCGTCTGTTTTCCCCGTTAGGAGCGTTTATGAGCCGGCTTGCCTCACGGCTCGCCTCACGTCTCGCCTCACGTCTCGCCTGCCCCGTCTGCTGTCGCTTTGTCCTTTGCATTCAGTTTTCAGACAGATCCTCGGCACCTTTCAGTCCTCACCAAATATTCTTTATGACTATTAATGGAAATAAATGTTAAAAGTGTATACACAGAAAAGAAATGTCTCCCCGGCTCAAAGTCTTTTTAGAGATGTGTTCTAGTAATCATTAAATGAGCAAATAACTGTATAACCACACATATTCTTCCAGAGACCAGGAAATGAGGAACACTCCCCAAATCACTGAATACGATATCAAAATCTTAGCCCAGCAAAATATAGCATAAAAATAAAACATGTCGATCTTATTGATGAATATAGATGCAAAAGTAATAAACAAAATGTTAAGAAAGAAAATCCAGAAAAAATATACTAAAATATTTACATCATGATGTAGTTGAGTACATTCTAAGTCAACAAGACAAAAACGTTAGAAAACCTATTAATGCTTTTCAAAATTTACTATGGCAACAAAATCAAGGAGAAAAAATCCTACATGGTGAGATTAAAAAAAATTAGCGAACTAAAAATATAAAGGAACACTCTTATTCCAATAAGGTATGGCTAACTAAAGTAACCATGTCAAATATCAGAACTTACAGTGACACGGAAGCAACATTCCCCAGAAGACTTCAGATGAAACCAAGGAAGCTCATGACCCCAGCTTCTATTCAGTGTTATGCTGGAGGTGCATGTTAGCACTGAGCGGGGAACACAAAGTGCAGGATAGGAAGAGAGGATGTTGTAATCATTCCCGAGCTACCCGAGAGTTAACTTAGAGAACGAGCAGCTTTCCTTACTTTTTTAACAAACATTTATGTAGTATTCAATATAGAGCAGGCACTATTCTAAATAGGTTAATAGGAAAAATTAAAATAGTTATCAATCACAGTTAAAATTCCATTATACTCCCTTGCACCATCAAAAAGAATAACTCAAGACTTAGAAACATTACATGTAACAGAAAAAAACCCCACAAAAATAGAAAGTAACTAACAAAATGTTCATGAGATACAAATAGAGAAAATTACAAATTTTTGAGGCATATTAAAAACATAAGTAAATGGAAATATTTACCATGTTCATGGATAAAAAGATTCAATATTGTGAAGATCTCAAAACTCTGCAAATAATTTATAGATTTCATGCCCTTCACATTATAATCTCAGCAGGATTTTTTTTACAAAATATGGCAAGATTGTCTAGGCCTTATAATAAAGAACAAAGGTCATAAAGTAGTCACAAAAATACAGGCACAAAAGAAAGAAGAAAAAAGATGATGAAAATTATGCTACAAGATATCACAATTCGTTATGTCAGTACTTGTAAAGCAACATAATTATGATGGCTAATCTTACGTGTTGACTTGACTAGGCTGAGGGATGCTCAGATGTTATTATGGATGTCTCTGTGAGGATCCTTTTGGATGAAATTAATGTTTGAATCAGTAAACTGAGTACAGGATACTCAACTTTACCAGGGAAAAGAAATACACATTCTCTCTCTCCCTCCCTCCCTCCCTCTCTCTCCGTGGGCTGGAACATCCATCCTTTCCTGCCCTCGGACACTGGAGCTCTAGGTTCTCTGGTCTTGGACTCCTCAGTCAACACCAGCAGCTCACCAGCCTTCAGGCCTCAGATTCAGACTCAGCAACACCAGAATCTTTCCGGCTTGCAGACAGCAGATCATGGGACTCTTCAGCTTCTATAGTTACAGGAGCCAATGTTCATAATCCATCTGCTCTTATATCTCTCTACCTCCCATTGGTTCTGTTTTTCTGGAGAATTTGGACTAATAAGTAAGTTTATGAACAAAATAGAAACCTGGAGAGGGTTAAGGGAACTGTTCCACACTCATGGGAGTGGGATTCCTGCAACGACTGGGAGACAACGTGGCTGCGTCTGAAGTTGGAGAAGTGCATTTCTGTGGCTCCAGGGCCCGGCTATTCCACTCCTAGATTTCAAGTGCATTCCCGTGGCTCCGGGGCCCAGCTATTCCACTCCTAGATTTCCAGTGGGTTCCCGTGGCTCCGGGGCCCAGCTATTCCACTCCTAGATTTCAAGTGCGTTCCCGTGGCTCCGGGGCCTGGCTATTCCACTCCTAGATTTCCAGTGCGTTCCCGTGGCTCCGGGGCCCAAATATTCCACTCCTAGATTTCCAGTGCGTTCCCGTGGCTCCGGGGCCCAGCTATTCCACTCCTAGATTTCCAGTGTGTTCCTGTGTCTCCGGGACCCAAATATTCCACTCCTAGATTTCCAGTGCGTTCCTGTGGCTCCAGGGCCCAAATATTCCACTCCTAGATTTCCAGTGCGTTCCTGTGGCTCCGGGGCCCGGCTATTCCACTCCTAGATTTCCAGTGCATTCCCGTGGCTCCAGGGCCCGGCTATTCCACTCCTAGATTTCCAGTGTGTTCCCATGGCTCCGGGGCCCAAATATTCCACTCCTAGATTTCCAGTGCATTCCCGTGGCTCCGGGGCCCAGCTATTCCACTCCTAGATTTCCAGTGCGTTCCCGTGGCTCCGGGGCCCAGCTATTCCACTCCTAGATTTCCAGTGCGTTCCCGTGGCTCCGGGGCCCAGCTATTCCACTCCTAGATTTCCAGTGCGTTCCCGTGGCTCCGGGGCCCAGCTATTCCACTCCTAGATTTCCAGTGCGTTCCCGTGGCTCCGGGGCCCAGCTATTCCACTCCTAGATTTCCATTGCGTTCCCGTGGCTCCGGGGCCCAGCTATTCCACTCCTAGATTTCCAGTGCGTTCCCGTGGCTCCGGGGCCCGGCTATTCCACTCCTAGATTTCCAGTGCGTTCCCGTGGCTCCGGGGCCCAAATATTCCACTCCTAGATTTCCAGTGCGTTCCCGTGGCTCCGGGGCCCAAATATTCCACTCCTAGATTTCCAGTGCGTTCCCGTGGCTCCGGGGCCCAAATATTCCACTCCTAGATTTCCAGAGCGTTCCCGTGGCTCCGGGGCCCGGCTATTCCACTCCTAGATTTCCAGTGTGTTCCCGTGGCTCCAGGGCCTGGCTATTCCACTCCTAGATTTCCAGTGGGTTCCCGTGGCTCCGGGGCCCAAATATTCCACTCCTAGATTTCCAGTGCATTCCCGTGGCTCCAGGGCCTGGCTATTCCACTCCTAGATTTCCAGTGGGTTCCCGTGGCTCCGGGGCCCAAATATTCCACTCCTAGATTTCCAGTGCGTTCCCGTGGCTCCGGGGCCCAAATATTCCACTCCTAGATTTCCAGTGCGTTCCCGTGGCTCCGGGGCCCAAATATTCCACTCCTAGATTTCCAGTGCGTTCCCGTGGCTCCGGGGCCCAGCTATTCCACTCCTAGATTTCCAGTGCGTTCCCGTGGCTCCGGGGCCCAGCTATTCCACTCCTAGATTTCCAGTGTGTTCCTGTGGCTCCGGGGCCCGGCTATTCCACTCCTAGATTTCCAGCGCATTCCTGTGGCTCCGGGGCCCAAATATTCCACTCCTAGATTTCTAGTGTGTTCCTGTGTCTCCGGGGCCCGGCTATTCCACTCCTAGATTTCCAGTGTAGAAAAAGTCCTTCCACAAGGGTCTAATGGGATGAAATATTGGAAACAAGTAAACGTCTACGAAAACACTGGACTGTGTGAATAGTAATGCATTCATTGATGTGGTAATAAATAAACAGTGTCTACACACCTCAACCTGAATTAATCTCATGAGGAACATGTTTAACATATGAAGCCAGTCATGAAAAATGTATAATGTAAGATTCCCCTTATACACATTAAAAAAATAGATCAATATCAAATATTGCACAAGCCTCCATACATTTGTAGTAAAATACGAATAGATGTTTGGGAAGAATAAACACCAATGCAGTCAGTGATAACTTGAGGAATGGGAGAAGGCAGCGATGGAAGTGAAGCCTTTGCTTTGCAGCATTTGCCACATTTCATGTCTTCTGCTAGTGGCTTGTACTCATCTATTACCTCATTATTCATAACTGCTTTGAAATATTTCATTAGACCTTTAAATACTGTTAGTCAAAGAGACAAGAGGTTCAGCAAATGAGCAATAGATAGAAACGGGAGAGAATCTTAAATGGATAAAAAACGGGCTCCTATTCTTGGTGTACGCTCTGAATACAACATTATTTCAGAGAATAAATTGGAAAAAGTCCCCAAAACATACCACAAAATTAAAACAGTGTTTTAGTATGACACAATCAATAATGGTTAGTTGTTTGTTTTTGTTTTCATATTTATGCTTTTTTGTAACTGCATTTTAAAATATATATGCTGCTGGGCTTCACAGTTTGTTTTTTGGCACAGGATGATACGTAGCCAATGAAATAATTCATCTAAGTAACTTTTAAAAATTAATTAAAACGTGAAATGCAGACAACCTCCCCATCCAGTGAACCTCAAGGAGACCCAGCTGCTGACGAGAGCCGACCTCAGTGTCTGGTTGAAGATGTCAAGAACAAGATGTTCTCATGCATGGTTCTTGTTTCTTTCCTCCAGAAAACAACTAATTGAATTTGTCTGTGCTTGGTTTTGTCTATCTCCACCCAATCTCTGGTGCCTGTCGGGGGCTTGGCCCACAGTAGGTGCTCCCTGTCCATTAGCTAAACAGATGGCAGTGGACATGGCAGCTGATGGTGGTTAGAAGCTGGCACCTGCCAGATGGAAAGGAGAAAGCCCGGGTGAGATGCTGCTGTTCCCCGGCTCTCGGGCACCATCTGCACGCACAGCGTATCAGAGCCTCTCCAACAGCAGTCATGATTTGTACTGGAGCCGTGCAAAGAGGGAGGGTTTTGTTACTTTCATGACATGAAATGCCCAGATGTCTCTAAGTTCCTAAATAAATATTCTATTTATAACTAAGTCTAATCTTTAAAGTTCTGATACTCCCAAATATTAAAGAATGTCATGGGCCTAGACTATTACTACCAATGATAGTTATCTTGTAAGCATTAAATTCTTTTTTAACAGATGACCAGAAAAACTGTAGATGGGTCTATTTCATATCATTCCAGTTTCCAGCAGCTCCTTTCCTGAGCTGGGCCTGCAGCCACAGACCCTCAGCTCAGGCAGGAGGCATAGGAGCTGCCACCATGTGGAGCCAATGACTCTTTGTCTGAACCTACCTGTATTAGTGTGTTTTCATGCTGCTGATAAAGACATACCTGAGACTGGGCAATTTACAAAAGAGAGGTTCAATGGACCCAGTTCTGTGTGGCTGGGGAGGCCTCAAAATCATGGCGGAATGTGAAAGGCATGTCTCACATGGTGGCAGACAAGAGAAGAGAGCTTGTGCAGGGAAACTCCTGTTTTTAAAACCATCAGATCTCATGAGACCCACTCACGATCATAAGAACAGCCCAGGAGAGACCTGCCCCCATGATTCAATCACCTCCCACCAGATTCCTCCCACAACATGTGGGAATTCGAGATGAGATTTGGGTGGGGACACCCAAATAATCTTATGATTTTTCAGCCCCTGTATTATCCACATGGCACCTTCTGTTACTGATGCTTAAGGAGTGGCTTTCTCATTCCCATGGCATGTGCCTTCATCAGCTCCCTGAACAAGGGGTCAGCTCGAGGTGCACTTCCCCAGCCTGCAGGGTTTTCTCACCGGAAGCCTCAGTCTCTCTCCTGAGCAGAACATCCTTGACAAATGCCATGTAGGACTTTTTAACAGGGCCATCTTGCTTCTCCTTCTGAACATGAACACCCGGAAAAGTTGGCAGCAACTCAGATCCACAAAATGAGCAAAGGACTTTCCGTGCAGGTGATCTGTTTGGCGGCTGGTTTACCCCCACAAAGAGAGAGCTCCAACAGATGCTTCAAGAGCGCAGTGAATTTGCCACTACTGTTATTTCATCTTATTATAGATGTCTAAAAAAAGAAAATATTTTGGAAGGTGTTCCAGTCTTAATGGGAAATAAGGCCTATAAATTTAAAAAGATAGCCAAGCAGAGGGATCCACAAAGTGGCAGAAATGTGAAACCCCTTTTCCTAAATATACAGTATGTCTTTAAAACAGTACACATGCAGTATATACCACTCATTGTATATTGGTCATTGAAGAAAAAATTCAGATAGATAAATATAGGTAATTAGTACATGTAGACATATTTTAAATTATTAAAATAAATATATGGGGAAAACATCTTTGATTTAGGTGAACACTGAGCCTCTACTAAGCAGCATTTAAAATGTTTTTGAAGCATTCTTTCCTAATTCCTTTCGGCAAATCCTTTTTAAATATCTGATTCCATTTACTTAAAACCCTGCCAGTGTTACAGTATCCGCGGAAGAAGGCGTTTTCATTACTCTGATACTAAATTAAAAGCTTTCTTTGTCCTTCTGTCTAATATGGAGCACTGGCATTGCCAGCCCGGCACAGTGGCGCTGGATGACAGGGACTACACCAGAATCATGAGGGCAGCCATCCTGGGACCGAGGGAAAAGGCACAGCATTTGATTGGCGAGTCTGTTTCTTGTCTCCGGGCTGCTTTATGCTTTTCCCTCCAGCATTGTGGCCCCTCCATCCCCAAGTTTATAGCATTCTGCGAGCCTCGGGTAAGAGAGTATTTCCATCACTGGCCCTGGTGCATGAAAGCCACACTGCCAACTTGTCATTATCACCAGTCTGGGTTCCTTTCCGATGGAGTAAGGGAAACTCCAGGCCCAGACTGGAAGAAGCTTATCTCCGCCGGGGAAATGTCTGCAGGTGACTGAAGCTTTCGTTCCACCATAACACATTTCAAGAGCACATATTCACTCACCCCAACACTTAGTAAGGACCCGTTTACAGGAAAACACTTATTTTGAAGCATACGTCTCAGCCAAAAGATACAGAGTGCTAAGATGTTCCATTCCTTTTTAAGGAGATTCCACTGGCCCTTTAAGCAAGAAACGACTTCACAGTTGAAACCTTGGTTTGGAAGACTCTTGTTTCAAATCTCGGCAGCATCCAATGAGCCCTCCTCATCAGCTGATGGTGGTAAGCACCTAGGACTTGGGCCAGTAGAACGAAGGAAAGAAACACAACCATTTAGTAAAAAGGTACCATAAAACATCGGATCTGCCGTTTGTGGCTGTGGGTGTTTTGGAATGTGCACACACACGGGGTTTTCCTCTCCCTGCCACCGCCTCCTTCTCTTCTCACTCTTCACACAGAAGTAGCTGCATATCAAGAATTGGTCTTCCCAAAGCCTAGGCTTTCAGGAGAACTTGGAAGTTTTCAGACAAAAAAGAACGGTGTTTGTAAACCAGGTAAGTCTTGGAAAGGGCATCTTGGAAGTGGCTGGGATAGAAAAAGGACCCCGGTGCATGCCAGCACCATGACAGACGGAGACCCCTCCTCCGTGTGCGGAGGGGAGGTCTAAGCATTTGGAGACAGTTGGAGACAGTCCTTTGCTTCTTGGCGTGAAGTAAAGAAGCATCAGACAGGAATATAAGGTGTGTTTAGGAAAACCGGGTCAACAGACACCTTCACAAAATAGTTCTGGGGCCCAGCCTGGTGGGTGTTGTAACTAGAAGGCCAAGCGAGCAGAGAGATGTTGTGGCCTCAGGAGGTCTGACCGAGAGGATGAGGTTTGGAGCCAGGCAAGGAGTTCAGATGCCAACTCCCTTCCTAATGCTATGTCGCCTTAGGCAAGTTACTTCACGTCTCTGTTCTTAAGCTTCCTCATTTGTAAAACCACGCATCCCTCTGAATTTATTGTAAGGATTAAATGAGTTAATATTTACCAAGCATTTGAAGCAGTGCCTGACACTGGGTGAGCATTATATAAATACTAGGTAAATAACCTATTGGCCCCGTGCAAGTCTCCTAAACTGAGGCATACATCTGAAGAATAATTAAAGTTAGGTTTACCCCAATCTTAGTGAAATTTGAGCTCAGAAATACAAAGAAATAGCATTTTCAATAATAAGGCTAGCGATAGTTATTGCATACTAAATACATGGACTGAGATTTATAGGCAATATCACTGCAGATACAATGGCTTTGGAAGGTTTCCTCTCGACGATGCTTCAGTCTTTTAGTTGTGATGTGAGTGTGTGTGGGGTGTGTGTGCATGTGTGTGCACTGTGCACACTGTGCGTGGTGTCACATGTGTACGTGTTGCTGTGCGTGCGTGTGTGTGCATCATGCACACTGTGCGTGCGTGTGTGGTGTCACATGTGTATGTGTTGCTGTGTGTGTGCATGTGTGTGTGCGCATGTGTGTGTGTGCATTGTATCTCGTGTATGTGTCGCTGTGCTTGTGTGCATGTGTGTGTGGTGTCACATGTGTCTGTGTTGCTGTCCTTGTGTGCGTGTGTGTGCACTGTGCACACTGTATGTGTGTGTGGTGTCGCATGTGTACGTGTTGCTGTGCTTGTATGCATGTGTGTGTGCATTGTGCACATTGTGTGTAGCGTTGCATGTGTACGTGCTGCTGTGTTTGCATGCATGTGTCTGTGTTGCGGGTGTGTGTTCCTGCATGCGATGGTTCCCATTGCTGGGCTCATTCTCAGCCCCTGAGAGACAGTGCTCACAGATAAACTAAAATTCCCACTCCAAACAATTTGGTCAGAATCAATTTACATATGAATGTGTGGGTAACGTTTCCTTAACCAAAAATGTGAAGAATTGTGCTATTCTTTTCATGCTAACAGGCAATAATTAGCAGTGAACTCGTTAAGCTAGTTTTGTTTTCCGCTTGTGCTTGTTTACGTCTTTATTGGTCAGGGCCTAAAATGTGCCTCAAGAACTGCAGAAGAGCAAAATTCGGCAGAGGGAAGAGGAAGGAGCAGAAGATGGAAGGAGACCGGAAGGATGTTGTCAAACACATCAGACTCAGAAGTGGCGCCCGGCCTGCCTGTGTTTTCACGGAAACCATTCCCAGTCTTTCTTCATGGCACCATTGCAGCCTCCCCTTTCACAGAGATGGTTCCTACCTAAGGAACTTGCCTTCGGAAATGGAAGACACGAGGGAGGTTACAGGTGGGTCCCGAGACAGATACTGAAGATAGAGAACTGGAAAGGGTGAAGCTGAAGAAGACCAGCACATTTGTGTTCAGAGCTGTCTGTTATCATAAGAACAGGCTCAGGCTCCTGCAAGAACAGGCTCAGGATCCTGCTGCCAGAGACTGAGGTACAGTCGTTTGGCTTCTTAACAAAAGCAATTCAGCGATCAGTTTTTTTTTTTTTTTTACCATACCCATGTGTGAACATGTACATATATATTTGTTTAATTGTATTAAAAGCCCAAATGTCCAACAATGATAGACTGGATTAAGAAAATGTGGCATATATACACCATGGAATACTATGCAGCCATAAAAAATGATGAGTTCATGTCCTTTGTAGGGACATGGATGAAATTGGAAATCATCATTCTCAGTAAACTATCACAAGGACAAAAAACCAAACACCACATGTTCTCACTCATAGATGGGAATTGAACAATGAGAACACATGGACACAGGAAGGGGAACATCACACTCTGGGGACTGTTGTGGGGTGGGGGGAGGGAGGAGGGATAGCATTGGGAGATATACCTAATGCTAAATGATGAGTTAATGGGTGCAGCACACCAGCATGGCACATGTATACATATGTAACTAACCTGCACATTGTGCACATGTACCCTAAAACTTAAAGTATAATAATAAAAAAAATTGTATTAAAATACCTTTTTGCTTAGCAAAACGTGTCTAAAGTTTTGATAGATTTATGAATAAAGTTAAAAGTGATCATCCAATTTCAATTAATAAAAAAAATTTCAAAACTTACTTCTTGATATGTTGCTTTATTTTAGCAACTACCCTGTTCCATCTTATGGGTTGACTGCAGTTACATATAACTATTCTTGCAACCCATGTTAAATGAAGAAAATTAGATAGAATTAGAAAGCAATCTGATTACAGTGCGCACTGCATTAATGGGATTCATGTGGCTTCACTGTATAGCTTGTCCTTGGGTTGCCATAAAGGAATACCTGAGACTGGGTAATTTATAAAGAAAAGAGGTTTATTTGGCTCATGGTTCTGCAGGCTGTACAGAAAGTGTGGTGATGATGTCTGCTCAGCTTCTGGGGAGGCCTTAGGAAGCTTCTAATTATAATGAAAGGCGAAGAGAGGGTGGACATCTGAGGGGGTGAGAGCAGGAGCAGAGTGGGAGGCACCACACACTTTAACAACCAGATCTTGTGAGCACCCACTATCATGAGGACAGTGTCAAGAGGATGGGGCTAAACCATTCATGAGAAATCCACTCCCGTAACCCAGTCACTTCCCTTCAACATTAGGGATTCCATTCAACAGGACAGTGTCAAGAGGATGGGGCTAAACCATTCATGAGAAATCCACTCCCATAACCCAGTCACTTCCCTTCAACATTAGGGATTCCATTCAACATTCCATATTCAACATGAAATTTGGGCAGAGAAATATCCATACCGTCTTAGTCATGAAGGAAAACGTGGATTTTTGGCTCAGTCATTTTTTATCAAGAGGCTTAGTACCCAAGTAAGTTATTTTGTATCTGCAAAATGAATGTAATAAAAAGACATCAAATTTATTTACCAGCACTCACTATAAACACAGATCTTACTCTTTAAAACTCATCACCCTGTCTTGGCCGGGCATGGTGGCTCACACCTATAATCCCAGCACTTTGGGAGGCCAAGGCAGGCAGATCACTAAAGGTCAGGAGTTCAAGGCTGAGCCTGGCCAACACAGCAAAACCCTGTCTCTACTAAAAATACAAAAATTAGATGAGTGTGGCGGTGCATGTCTGTAATCCCAGCTACTCAGGAGGCTGAGGCAGCAAAACCGTTTGAACCTGGGAGGCAGAGGTTGCAGTGAGCTGAGATCGTACCACTGCACTCCAGCCTGGGTAACAGAGCGAGACTCTGTCTCAAGAAAAATAAAAATAAAAAAATAAATCTTATCACTCCGTCTCAGAAAAAAAAAAAAAAAGTGAGATGAAGGAAATGGCAGCAAACCCAGTGAGAACATGTTTGAGGCTGTGCTTAAGTACAAGATACAGGTATCCATTGCAGATGTTCCAGAAGACATGATTCAGTGCAGCAGGGGCCAAATAAAGGTGATCTAATTGACAGGAAAAGAGCACGGGGCCCGGCCTGGTCGGGGGCTCCTCAGATGGGGAGAGACTGGTGTGGCTGCCTTTTCAAGTGAAAAGTGCTCCCTGAGCAACATCTCTGTGGGCTTGGACAGGACCTTGGTCTCTCGGGGCCTCCCTGAGTCATTTAGACCCTGAGGTCAAGGATCGCTTGTGACTTGAAAGATACAGAACTGGCTCCCAGCCTCGGTGGGAGCATCTTGCTTTGTGCAAAGCAAAAGGAAATCACATAATACAACTTTGTCTTCAAAAAGGAAGATGCAGTGAGTCTGATTCTGGGGCAGGACTCCTCTGGGGGCATGAACGCCAACAGCAGGGCTCAGATGTAAACACGAGACCACCTGTGCCCACCATGAAAGGAGAGCAGCCCCGACTCCGGATGAGGGGCCTGTGAAAAGAAGTCTTTTGTGTCAAGCACCCTGGTCTTCCCCTCACAAGGTCAGGAAAGCCGATGAGGGAAGACCAGCAGAGATTCATCTCCACGGACCCGCAACAATAAAACATCAGAGCTGGATTTCAGGTTGAGAAAGATAAAAAACATAAACGAGTCTTTTCTAAAAAGCATATTTTAGTGAAACTATATTGTTGATCTTTTAATAAAAACCCTTTTTTCAAACTTTTAGAAACTATGCTTTGTCGCCTCATTTTTTTTTTTTGGAATGTTGGAAGAGCTATGTCAAACCCTGGTAACCCAAGGTGCTATGGCTTCTTCCCCCGGGAGGATGGCATGGCCTGTAGCTTCCCACCCTTCATTGTCCTGCCTTCAGTGTGGGCTCAGCTCCTGGCCTCCCTGGGGCCTATGGAGACAGTAATACTCATTTCTGCACAGTGAGCTGTAAGCTGTGGACAGGGGCAGATATCCCTCCCTGAAGGAAAAGACAGAGTCCTACAAAGCAAATGCTTTTGACTCAGGTTTTTCCTCCTGCTGGGATGCTGACGTGATGCCTGGGGGTGTGGCAGCCATTCTGAACCTAAGAGACAATGAAGGGTGGACAACGGAAGACTCATGTTCCCGGCAGACATCCCGAGTGCGCAGAGCCCGTCATTCCCTCTTTCCAAGTTCCTTCTAACAAACGGTAGCAGGAAAAATATTACTTAAACCATTGTCAATTTCTGATTATCTACAGTTGAATACACAACTATGTAAATACAATTCATTTGTATTTATGTTTATAAATGTAGATTTAGAAAAGATGTGGAAAATGGCCGTGACATTGGGCAGTTAAAACAGGTTAAAATCCAGAGCACCTGTAGGTCGTAGTGAGCAGCTGTGGTTAGTTAGTGCTCGTTCCCAGGCCTGCACTTTGCTTGAGAGAAAGCACCACGGCCAGCACTACCTCAATCTTCCCGGAGCGGCCTTAATCACGTAAAAAAGGATGAAATTCGCTTTAACGATACGTTTGATCTAGCCCAGTCTATCCCTAAGGTTACTGTTCCAGCATGTACTCAATATAACAATATTAATTCCATACTTTACATTCTTTCTTTCCTACAGAGTCTTTGAAATCGGTGTGTATGTTACACCTACAACACATCCCACACTGGAGGAGCCACCCTCCCAGGGCGAGACAGCAACACAGGCCTCCTGGCCACCCACACAGGTAGTGAGGATTTGGGTTTCCACAGTTACCAAACCCAAACCTTCCCCTAACCACACAATACCTGAAGTCAATAATTAGCTCAGAGCATGAAATAAAAAATCTAAAGTAATAATAATTTACTGAAAATATATTTCTGTCTTCAAAAGTTTTAACAAGTATGACCTCATTTAATGTCTTTCCCTCTGAATGTAAGTAATGGTAGTGCTAATGCCTTAGCTTTCTGCACGACTGAAATAAGACACTGCTTGTGAAGATGTTTTTGTTGTTGTCTCACAAGCGCTTCTGAAACATTTGCTAAGCTTGACCCAACTCTGAATCCCGCTACATTTTAAAGTATTGGCATCATACCGAGCACATTCTCTGACCACAGTGTAATAAACCAGAAATTAATAACAAAAAGATGACTAGAAAATACTCATATGTTTTAAAATTAAACAATGTACTTCCAAATAGCATGTGCCAAATTAAAAATGTAAACTAAAAATTAATATGAAGTAAATGACAAGGAAAATACTCCACATGGAAACTTACAAAATACAACTATAGCCATGCTTAAGGGACATTTATGGCCTTGAATGTGTATACTAGAAGAAAGGAAAATGCAGGTATAAGCCAGTAAGTTAGCCCTATCCTGGAGTTAGCGCCAGCCAAGAAGGGGGAAAAATTATAATGGGGTCACATATACATTAAGAAATTATTTTCACAAAAGACCCATTAAGAGAGTAAAAAGGTAAGCCACCGAGAAAAAGGAAATATTTGAGACTCATTTAACAAAGGACTCTTATTAAAAATACATAAAGAACTTCTGCAAATCAACACAACAAAAACAATCAGTTCAAAACAAAATTATGTGAGATACAGATATCCAATGGCCAACTAATATATGAAAATATGCTCAATCTCAATAATTATCAAGGAATGAAAAATAAGTCAAGAGGAAGGTGCTATTCCACAACCCCTGGAATGGTTGAAGTTGAAGACTGTTGGTCCCAGGCATTCGCAAGAGGGCATGTGGATGAGAATTATCCTCACACACTGCCGGGGGGACATAAATTGGTGAAACCACTTTGGAAATGGTTTGCAATGTCTACTAAAGGTGAAGGTGTCTACACCGGGGTCCTAGCAGTTCCACTCCTGAATGGGAATTTATGTTTATGGGCATGGAGAGACACATACGATTATTCAGAGCCATGTTATTAGTATTAACTGTACAAACCTACTTTTTTCTCAACCAGAGAATAGATACATGAACTTCGGTACATTGATGCGGCAGAATAAGACGGTGTACAGCAGTGACACCAAAGGAACCATGGCTACAGGTAGCAGCAGCTGAACCTCACAAGTAAAACCGAGAGACTGCAAAGGACTGTAGACTGCATGATGTTACATGTCTGTAACATTCAAAAGGAAGGCAACACCGTTGTACTTAGTGATGTTGAGCTAAGCCTCTGCAGAAAGGCGAAGCTGTGATTGCACTGCAGCCCGTAGCATAGTGAACTTTGCAACGCAGGGAAGGGCATACAAAGCGCAGGCCTTTGGGAGTTCTGGCCGTTCTGTGTACTGACCTGGGTGTGGTCACATTTCTTGATAAACAATTGAGGAGCATGTTTTTGCCTTGTGCCTATTTTTATGTTATATTTCACGATATTAAAAATGTTAAGAAAGAAAGTGAGCTATTCAAATCATAGTACATTCAAAAATAAAACAAACATTCTCATGAAGCTGGGATCAAAGAGAATCTGAGAGCAGGGAGTTGAGGCTGAATCTGCAGCCCTCGGAAGCTCCAAATCTGATTACAAGTAGACTCAAAATACGGAGCACCGGGTGAAGGGCGGAGGCCAGGCTCATTACTGGGCTTACGGGAAAGATCTTCTGCCATGTCATTTTAATTCTGTGGGAAATATGTCTTCCTCTGACTTGTCTTTTCTGCCAGAGTGCAGGCAGAAGGACTTGACGCCTGGTGCTCCAGCAGCTGTCTTGCCACCAACAGGGTAAGGCGAGGGAAAGTGCAGAGTCAATAGCCCAGAACACTGAGATCCTCGGGCCACTGGAGGGACCTGCACCATCAACCTCTGGTCTTCTCAAGTAAACAAAAATGCCTTATGGTTTCTAGAAGATTAATTTTATGAAGTTTCTAAAAACTCTTTTTCAAAACATTTGTTAATCAAAAAAAATAGTTTCAGAAAAGGTCTCACTTGTAAGTTTACACAGCGTAAAAGCTGAAAACACACTGTCTTTGTATGACTTTTGTTGCAAGGTCGGTTGTCAGGAGAGTTTAATCAGACGTTTTTACAACCACGTTAACTGTACTCAACCAAAACCTCAGGTCGCTGTGTGGAAAGCAACCACTGTAGCATGAAAATTAACACTTTCAGAGTGTACTAGAACACTGTAATTTGAACACGCAAATGAAAGTAGATACAGCATGAGAGCAAGGTACAAGATATGCTAAGACGAGGTTTTACCTCAAACCCAAGTTTCCTGGACTGTGGGTTCAAGTCCCATCTGCAATGTACTTTAACACATTTCTGTGGCTTAATTTCTGCCGGTTTTCTTTACAGTCATGGTTTGAAGAAATGGATGAACTGATCTGAACTTGCTTTTTAACATTTAAAAATACAAACTAAATTCATCTAGCTAGATTTGAAAATTGGGGGAAAAAGCTTTGTAATTGTTTTTTAAAAGTCACCTCACTTGCTGATCATTTAATGAGAAACACAAAAAGAAACGCCTGCTGAACAAGGACGCCATGTCATTGTAATGGGATTACTTGGTTATCTGTGGTCATGCAGGTATTGTGGGATTTCTTAGATTAATTTTGTTAGATAATTTTTGAAATGAATTTAAAATTTCTTGTAGAACACATTGTCACCCCTGCAGTACCAGAAATGGTGACTTTATCAGGAAATCAGAGCTCTGCACAGCTTACGGGGACACCTCAAGCCTTCAGGATGAGCCAGGCTGCCCTCTATGGACCCAGCAGGTCAGCTCAGGGATTGCCACATAAAATACAGGACACAAGCTGAATTTCAATTGAGGGTAGACTGTAATTTTTTTTTAGCATAAGTATGTCCCAAACATTTCATGGCATATAATGACACTAAAAGAATATCCCTTGCTTGTGTGATATTTGAGTTTAATGAGGTGCCCTGTTTTGTTTGCATGTTGGCCAAGTCTGTCCATCCTAAAACAGACATCCCAGGGCAGACAGTGGGGGCCTCTGGTGAGTTATCTCACTGATAATTTAGCTTCAGTGAACAGTTCCCTTAAGGCTGGGCTGTCAGGACACCCCCTCCCCCATCTCCTGCCCGAAGCCAGTTTTAAACAGCGTATTCTTCAAATCACTACTTATGTCTCATTCGATGCATGACAAAACACACAAAAAATGGGACCATATCTGGCCGTTTCTAAATTAATCCATAACTTATCTTTTCCACTTCTTCTACAGTTGCAAAATACCACTCCAACTAAGAAGCTTTTGGGAGAAATATGACTAGATGGTCTGGCCCACCCTGTCCCATCCATCGTAGGGTGGCTGAGAAGCCACAGCAAGGCAGGGCCCATGGCAGAGAGAAGCTGCCAGGGAGGCCACACTGGCTCCTGATGCCTCATACAGGGACACACTCCCTCTTCATTTTATATAATCATTACAGCCCTCACCAGGAGTCCAGGGAGGAGCAGGATCATCCTCATTTTTACTGATGATAAAACTGAGGTTCAGAGAGACACACGACCTGCCTGCATCTCTACAGTGGTGGCGCCTGGGAGCTCGGCTGCAAACTCACACTTGTCTCCTGCCCACCCCCAGTCTCTCACTGCCTCTCACTGCTCTCTTGCAATATACAACATTTAAAATCTATCTCATTTCAGGAGTTCGAGACCAGCCTGGCCAACATAGTGAAACCCTGTCTCTACTAAAAATACAAAAATTAACCAGGTGTGGTGGCAGGTGCCTGTAATCCCAGCTACTTGGGAGGCTGAGGCAGGAGAAATGCTTGAACCTGGGAGACAGAGGTTGCAGTGAGCCGAGTCCACACCACTGCACTTCAGCCTGAGCAACAGAGCAAGAATCCATCTCAAAAAAACAAAAAAACAAAACAAAAAAACCACTCTCTACCTCATTATCTCAGTTTTCATAATTAAATAGACATTTCTTTTTTAATGTAATGCTCTTAACTATAATCCTCATTTTTAAAAAAGTATTTTATTAATTTACAAGAAAGAATTGTACATAATCATGGGGGTGCCTAGTGATTTTTTTTTTCCAGACTGAGTTTTACTCTTGATGCCCAGGCTGGAGTGCAGTGGTGTGATCTCGGCTCACTGCAACCTCTGCCTCCCAGATTCAAGCAATTCTCCTGGCTCAGCCTCCCAAGTAGCTGGGATTACAGGCGCCCACCACCATGCCCGGCTAATTTTTGTATTTTTAGTAGATGCAGGGTTTCATCATGTTGGTCAGGCTGGTCTTGAACCCCTGACCTCAAGTGATCCACCTGCCTCGGCCTCCCAAAGTGCTGGGATTATAGGCGTGAACCACCACGCCCGGCCCTCTAGTGATGTTTTGATAGATGAATTTCTCATATCATCATCACTAAGACGTAGTTCTTAATATATTCAACAATAAAGGTTTTTGAAGTTAAATAAATTTCTACCTAGGAATGAGGTATCGCTTTGAAGCACACAATCCCTATTGCTAAATTAACCATGGAAGATGAGGCCCTGCACGAGAGTTCATAGAAGGCGGCTGTGATTCTGGAGCATCTGTGTGCACGGGGAAGGCACCACGTATCTCTGGGAAACCCTTCCCCTCCTTTTTAAAAGCATTGGAAAAAAATGATGCTTGGCCCTTTAATAACTAAAAGCCAGGCCCTGGCAGAGTTTGGTTGTGAAATAATAGAAGGGGAAAGTTTGAAAAAGAAACATGAACTGATGCAGAGTGGCTTTTCCCCAGCTGCAGCCTTCAAAGGCCAGGAATTTGGCAGCCGGAATGCCTGTGGATTAGAGATCTCGCCACTGGCAAAGGCCATTTCCAGGAATAGGTCTGCCCAGGGTGGCCACAATTTTCCTCTGATCTGGCAAAATCTAAGCCATAGGATATGAAGAAATTCCTCGATTCTGAAAAGCAATGTCAGAGATCCTTTATATGAGTACGAAGCATTCAAGCAGTGGCTTAAAAATAAGAGGAAGCGATAGGACAGCTGCTTGTCTGTCTGAAGCCGGACACCGGGCACTGTGGGGCCCCAGGGCAGCTTGGTGGGGCTGCATCTGCCAGGAGTCCCCCAGCTCCTCAGGGATGAGGAGGTGCTCCTGCGTGGGGTCCCCTCCACACGCCTGCCGCAGCACCCCTGAATCAACGTGGGAGGGCCACAGTCTACACTGTGACATGTCTCTGTGCACCAAGGCAACACCTCCCAGGCTCATCTCAGAGGGCTTCAGAGCAACATGACAACACAAATTACACAAACCTCCTCAAAATAGAGAATCAGCACGTGCCCGTTTCACACACTTCTGACCATCAAACAAAAAGTATGACGCAGTCATCTGCTAACACAGAAACGCTTATATATCAAGCAATGACCGCCCGTGTTTGTTACTTAGGTGTGTAGTATTTTGTTCAAGAATAATGGTATTTTTAAACTCTTCACTTGTTAGTCATGTTTTAAAATTTGACAAAATCCCTCACTCTTTTTCTATATCCATAAATTAAGCTTTCTTATATATGTGATTTTCCGTTTAACAGGGACACCCAGATCAGCTTTGTCACAGCTGCTGCTCTGTGAATATTTTGGATTCGATGAATGAATTGTTCTTAAGTAATAATGAATGAGTATGTTTGCTTTTCTATCCTTTTTCTCCAGGCCAGTAGAGCCTGTTGTAAAGCTGTATGTAAACAGTACATAGCGATAACTTCTCTTGTTCTAGTTCCCAGTATAAAGCATCCCCTCCCTGGACTGTTGCTGGAAGTCCTGAAAGCCATTTTATATGTGCTTGTGGGTGATCCCTGGGGCCACTCCTGAGTCCTCTCCTGTCCCCGCTGAAGCCACCAGTGCAGCCGGCCTCTGCCTGCTGCAATGCTCCTACCTCTGTAGGCAGAAGTCATGCTCAGGTGCCAATATGTCAGAAGGGAGTGACATATCCATGTGAGAACCAAGGCTTCTATGCCACCGGGGTTTGCCACAAGTGTCAGCACTGGATAGAAGCAGAACCCTGATAAAAACTAAATTCAAAATGTTCCAAAATTTAAATTAAATACCAATCACTGAGTCAGGATAGGTAGTCAAGGAAGTCGCCGTGTCCTTGGGTGGTCCACAGTGGTGGTGGACATTGGTGGACAGTGGTGTACGGTGTACGTGGTGACTGTAAAATCAACACAGCAAGCCTCAGCATTGACATTGTCACTGAGCTCCCTCAAGCAAAGCTACCTTCAGTAGGGAATTTCCCCTGCAGAGAGCATGTGCACTTTGATTTTACCGTCCTCAAACTGACCCTTTGCTCTTTATAATCATAAAAAGCAAACCATGGGTGGAGATACAAGACCCTGAGACATGTGACGTGTGAGCAAGCACGGACAACTACCATGCGTGCATCCAGAGGAGCACCCAGAACATGCCCCAAGCAGCGCCTCCTCCCACCCCCTCATGGGTAATCGTGGAAGACTCCCACAGAGGGAGCCTCCCTCCTGCTGCTCTCTGCTGTCTCACCTTGGAGAGCACCCACCCTGAATCCTCTCTCTCCCAAGCTGTCCTGTCTTATTCTGCACCTAACTGTAAAAATATTATTTTTCCTTTGCAAAAAATTACTTCACGCTGCGTCTCCTTTGCTGTGTGTCTCTTGCTTAAATCCTTTTAAACTAAGACCAGACCCAAGGTCTCACAACTTCCATCACTATCATCACTTTCAAGCAAAAATAATACAGCAGCCTCCTCTGTTCCAGTGTGGGTGAATCGTGTAAGAAGATCTGATGTGTGAATGCTCTGTGGATGGGGGGGGACCAATGATCTGGGCTCATTCAAGAACATACCACACCACGTGGGTGTCCACGGACTGCCCTGCTCATTCCGCGTGGCAAAGTGTTTGGTGCCACTAGTCATCATGCTGTAGTCACTACCAACACCCCCTCTTCCGTGCTGGAGGTGTTGGCGTTATTTGGGGAGTCCTGGTGACTCCCCTAAGGTCATGTAGCACCGGAAGTGCAGCCAGATGACTCTGACGCAGGAGCCCCTCACCACTGCGTCCCAAGGGGCTTCACATCAGCCACTGGTTTCAAGACCGCAGTTCAGATTCTCCCTTTGCCACAATGGGTGGACAAAAACTATGGAGATTGATTTGTGATTGTCAGGCTTTTGGGCCCTGAGTCTTCCAAGTTTTCTTTTTGCCAATTATCATGCTCTAGTAAAGCCACACAATTTGTTCAAAAGCACATTTTCTAGTCTGGGGAATTTGGAGATCTATGTGATATGGAATTGCTCTAAGTCAAGGATAACCAGGGACTCAGTAGAGGACTATAAAAAGGAGAAGAAAACCTTACACTGAATAAAAAGAGTAACAGAAAATACAATCACCCTGCGACCAGATGTCAAGCACTCTCGAAAGCAGAGCTCACGGTGCCCGGCGGCTCCAGTGTGCACGTCTCTGTCCTGGGGAGCCGCCATTATTCTCTGGATGGCTCCTCATGGCTGGCAAACATGGTGTTTCCCACTCTCCTCTGGTTCTGTCATGGGGTCTACCACACTGGGGTGTCTCCCCAAGTCACCACTCTTGGAGGGCCGGGCTTCGTGCAGTGGTTAGATGCAAAGGTCCCGTGGGCTCATCCTGCTTCCATCTGCCCAGACTTAGCAGTCCTGTGCTCTCAGGCAGGGCCTTCACCTCTGAAGCCCCCTCTTCCTGTTTGTAATAGAAAATCCTTGTCACTAAGTCATTACATAATCAGGTTCATGTGAACATTAATGGGCTGTTGCATGAGAAACGCTTACGATGTTGCCTAAACATTTGCTAGTGAAAGAGGGGGCAGTCCCCTCAGCACTAAAACAACACTGTGCCTCCCAGGACACCCATTCCACAACTGACAAACACAACCCTGCACCAACTGGGGTAGGGAGTGGAAAGACACAAGTGGCTTAGGGAGCTGGGGCTCAGTTCTCCGGCAGGACTCGTGCTTCCCCTTAGATCACACAGATGTAAACCTGGGGAGACTTTCCAAATTTCCTTGCCGGCAGATTGTGGATGGCAATAAGAACCCATGAATGAGATGCACTGCATGGCATGTGGAAGGCGGATGAAAGTAGAAGCCCCCTCTGTCTTCCTGCAGCACAGGAAGCAGGTGACCTGAGCAGGTGGGGCTTTCAGCAGGTGACCTGTACAGGTGCGGCTTTCAGCAGGTGACCTGAGCAGGTGCGGCTTTCAGCAGGTGACCTGAGCAGGTGGGGCTTTCAGCAGGTGACCTGTACAGGTGCGGCTTTCAGCAGGTGACCTGAGCAGGTGCAGCTGTCAGCAGGTGACCTGAGCAGGTGCGGCTGTCAGCAGGTGACCTGAGCAGGTGCGGCTTTCAGCAGGTGACCTGAGCAGGTGCGGCTTTCAGCAGGTGACCTGAGCAGGTGTGGCTTTCAGCAGGTAGGCCTGAGCAGGTGTGGCTTTCAGCAGAGATCCTACCCTCAGCACTATGTGTGGAATGTAGGAATCCTTTCCAAAAATGTTGAACTGATTTCATTAGACAAATAGAAATCGAAGCAAACTCAACAGGACAGGACATTGAGAAGTACACAAAGTCATTCAAGTGCAGGAGGGGCCTGTCCTGGATGAAGACAGAGCTGCATCCATGTTTTCATTGAGTCAGAAGAAATGGAAGAAAGTTGCAGGTTGATTTTGTTCTAGGCCAGTGCTGTAAGGAAATCCATGTTGGATAGGCAGGAACAGGAGGGTGGGGGTGCAAGGCGAAGATTCCAGGCAGTAGGTGATCACTGGGGTCTTCGGTGTGCAATGTGATCTGAGGATCGTGGAATCGTGCTGGCTTTCAGAACAGATGAGAAGCCGGGAGGAGCCTGTGCAGAAGAGGAAGATCTATCTGGAAAAAGGTGAGGGTGTGAGGAGCAGCTGGGATAAGGCGCTAAGCAGGAACGCACCCAATGATGGGAAGGAAGGGAACCTGGGGGAGGCCCAGGGCATGCTGATCACAATGGAGAACTGAGGCAGGGAAGAGAATTGCTAGCTGAGAGTTTCAGGATGTAAGCTGAAATGAAGTGTCCTAGAGGGACGTACATGGCAGCGGGCAATGAAGACAGAAAAAGTGGGTTCTAAGTTTAAGCCTTTGCCGGATTCAGTGGGCAGTGTGAGATCACGTAATTGCAATTTACCTGTGTGCTACAGGGGAGCCGCCCATGCCTTTGGTGCTGCAGGAGATGAGGGAATCTGAGCGTGAATGAGAGAAGGAACTGGATCTTTCAGCTCCTGACATGAGTCAGTCTTTTGATTCTGTTATTTGACTTAATTCTCTCAATAACTCGCCAAGGTGAGTGTATTAGTGAGGGTTCTCTAGAGGACTAGTAGGATAGATGTATACATGAAAGGGAGTTTATTAGGAGAATTAACTCACACAATCAGAAGGTGAAGTCCCACAATAGACCATCTGCAAGCTGAGGAGCAAGGAAGCCAGTCCAAGTCCCAAACCTCAAAAGTAGGGAAACCGACAGTGCAGCCTTCAGTCTGTGGCCGAAGGCACGAGAGCCCCTGGCAAACCACTAGTGTAAGTCCAAGGTCCAAGAGTCCAAAAGCTGAAGAACTTGGAGTCTGATGTTCGAGGGCAGGAAGCATCCAGCACGGGAGAAAGATGGAGGCAGGAAGACTCAGCCAGTCCAGTCCTTCCACGTTCCTCTGCCTGCTTTTATCCTAGCCAAGCCGGCGGCTGATTAGATGGTGGCCACCCACATTGAGGGTGGGCCTGCCTCTCCCAGCCCACTGACTCAAATGGTAATCTCCTTTGGCAACACCCTCATGGACACAGCCAGGACAATACTTTGTGCCCTTCAATCCAGTCAAGTTGGCACTCAGTACTATCACAACGAGTATTAGAATGTTCTACATTTTTGACTCAAGGAAACCAAAGTTTACGGAATTTTGAAGATTTGGCTAAAAAAAAAAATTCTGAAATACCAGAACATGCTTGTGGTGGAGATTGTGTGAGGATATGCACTCCTGAGAAGGGGCAAGTCAGACAAAGAGAGAAGCAGGGAGAAGAAAAGAAGGAAGAGGAGAGAAGCAGGGAAGAGGAAGAGCACAAGAAAGCAGGAGAGGTGGAGAGCGGGCAGACAGAGACAGGGAGAGCTGCAGAGAGGACCCCGCTCCCCACCCGGGAGGACAGAGAGGATTCCGCTTCCCACCTGGGAGGGCAGAGAGGACCCCAGTCCCCACCTAGGAGGACAGAGGATCCTGCTCCCCACTCAGGAGGACAGAGGATCCCGCTCCCCACCCAGGAGGACAGAGAAGACCCTGCTCCCCACCCGGGAAGACAGAGAAGACCCTGCTCCCCACGTGGGAGGACAGAGAAGACCCCGCCTCCCACCTAGGAGGACAGAGGACACGGCTCCTCACCTGGGAGGATCATCGCTGCTCTGTAACTCAAACAACCACAGCAAGGGTTAGATAAATGTCTACTTTACAAAACAAAGTCGGATGGGACTTCAGTTTTTATTTATTATTTATTATTTATTTATTTCTGAGACAAGGTCTTGCTCTAATACCCAGGCTGGAGTACAGTGGTGTGATCCTGGCTCACTGCGGGCTCCACCTCCTGGGGCTCAAACCGTCCTCCCACCTCACCCTCCTGAGTAGCTGGGGCCACAGCCTCGACAGCCTGCACCACCATATTCGGCCAATTTTCCTTTGTATTTTGTAGAGATAAGGCCTCACTATGTTGCCTAGGTTGGTCTTGAACTCCTGGGCTTAACTGAACCCAGCCTGCCTCAGCCTCCCAAGGTGCTGGGATCACAGGCATGAGCCACTGTGCCTGGCTATTTCTTTCTTTCTGTCTTTTTTTTTTTTTTTGAGATGGAGTCT
This sequence comes from Homo sapiens, assembly GCF_000001405.40. Classification (NCBI taxonomy): domain Eukaryota; kingdom Metazoa; phylum Chordata; class Mammalia; order Primates; family Hominidae; genus Homo; species Homo sapiens. The sequence goes on along the minus strand of NW_004166862.2, from coordinate 145,125 downwards.
CGCTTTGTCATCCAGGCTGGAGTGCAGTGGCTCAATCTCGGCTCACTGCAAGCTCTGCCTCCCGGGTTCACACCATTCTCATGCCTCAGCCTCCCGAGTAGCTGGGACTACAGGTACCTGTCACCACGCCCGGCGAATTTTTTGTATTTTTTAGTAGAGACAGTGTTTCACCGTGTTAGCCCAGGATGGTCTCGATCTCCTGACCTCGTGATCTGCCCACCTCGGCCTCCCAAAGTGCCGGGACTACAGGAGTGAGCCACTGCGCCTGGCCCTGGCTATTTATGTCTTAAAGGGAAATTTAGAATTCCACTTTAGATAATGGGCTTTTGGAATAATTAAGAAGAATCTGAAACACATTCTTTGAAAAGAGCACATCAAACTGTCACAGAGCAGAGGAAGCTGCGGAGACATGAGGACTAAGTGTCACGTGGGATCCTGCGCAGGAGGGAAGACTGAGGGGACGCGGATCAAGGACGCCCTGAGCTGATGTTGATTATCAACACTGCCTCCATGACGCTGACTACCGACGCCGCCTCCACGACGCTGACTACCGACGCCGCCTCCACGACGCTGACTACCAATGCCGCCTCCATGACGCCACCAATGTGGCCTCCACGACGCTGAACACCGACGCGGCCTCCACGACGCTACCGACACTGCCTCCACGACGCTGACTACCGACGCCGCCCCCACGACGCTGACTACCGACGCTGCCTCCATGATGCTATCAACGTGGCCTCCACGACAGTGACCACCAACGCCGCCTCCATGACGCTGACTAACGACGCTGCCTCCACAACGCTGATTACCGACACTGCCTCCATGACTCTACCAACGTGGCCTCCACAACGCTGATTACCAACGCTGCCTCCACCACACTGACTACCGATGCCACCTCCACGACGCTGACCACTGACCTGGCCTCCACGATGCTGACCACCGACGCCACCTCCACGACGCTGACCACTGACCTGGCCTCCACGACGCTGACCACCGACGCCACCTCCACGACGCTGACCACTGACCTGGCCTCCACGACGCTGACCACCGACGCCACCTCCACGACGCTGACCACTGACCTGGCCTCCACGACGCTGACCACCGACGCCACCTCCACGACGCTGACCACTGACCTGGCCTCCACGACGCTGACCACCGACGCCACCTCCACGACGCTGACCACTGACCTGGCCTCCACGACGCTGACCACCGACGCCGCCTCCACGATGCTGATTACCAACACTGCTTCTATGACTGAGGCAGATGCACCACACCAGGAAAAACGTTCACGGCATCAGAAAGTGGTGTGGGGCTTGTGGGATTCCAGTACTGCTTTCTCAGTTTTTCTGTAAATGTAAAATAAAACAGAGTTCTAAGAAGTTTGCTTAAAAAAACCACATCCATGTCAGACATTTCAGACATGTGGAAAGCCCCGATCACCACATCCGACCTCTGAGGTAGGGAGGGCGAAGGGCGAAGGGCGTATGATTCGTCTGACCTGTGTTCAACCACTTCTGTCTCCAAACTTCCGTCTGACGCAGTGGAAAGCACATATAGAGATTTCAATCATATTTTAAGTTTATTTATGTGTAATAAGTGAGATTTATACACTGGGACATAGCCTACTTGATCCAATAGGAAAAAAAAATAAAAAACATCTTAACGCTTGGGCATAGGGGAATAAAATCAAATGATCATGCATAAGAAACACTGGAATTAATCTTTTTCTAAGGACGCCTTTGAAGACCCTGCAGACAAAGTGGAAAGGAACTCTCAGTCCCACTTGGACAACAATGAGGAGTAGTTATGGCCTATGAGGGAAAAACCATGAACAATGACAAATCCTGAGAATATTTCCATGACGTGGGACTTTGGATGCATTAGTAAGTTCATGATTTGAGCAGCCTCTGCTGGTCATAGGTATGCAAAGTGAAAACGTTTCTGGGAAAAATATTTTCTCTGATTTTGAGTTGTGTTTGATTATTAGTAATAAAATTATAAATAATGGCAATATTACAAATAAAATAGCGATAGTATTAAATATTAAATCAATAGCAATATTATTCAGTAGTAGTTAACATTGTTAGAGATCTTACTGTATAGGAGATTTATATATTTTCTCAGTGTTTGCAACAGCCTTGCATGGCAGGCAATACTGCTATATTTGCAGAAAAGAAGTGGAAGCTTATTGATGTTTTATGACTCCACCAAAGTCCCACTTCATGGAATGCAGAGTTCGGGCCCAAATCTGGCCTGCTTGCCTCCACAACCTCCATCACACTCCATACGATTTGCACAAACCTCATATCCCAATGATAAATTCTGCATCACTTCCCAACCCTCTGCTTAAGACAGAGAAAGTCATTAAATGTTGTCGTAGTATTAAAACTCCAGAAAAATAATTAGATGACTACTTGTAGGTTTGTCTTGTTGTTGTGGTTGTGGTTGTGATTGTTAGGAACGTTTTGAGCAGTCTCTGCTGGTCATAAAAGTAGTGGTGTGTTAACTTTAGACTTCTGAGGCCTTGACTTTACCACCAACCTCATGTTGGCTGTGTGAGAACCTATTACTTGGCCATCACTAAGTTCATGATTCACAATGTGTGACTCACACGGCATTCATGATTCGGATACATTCGATAAAACCGGTAGGAAGAACACATATGCAAATATATACCAGTGGATAACTTCTGCTTCAAGTGTATGAAAGGGATTTAATCCATCTCCTACCAAAAGAGGGATGGAATCTATTTAAAATGGCTTTTGAGACACTGGACATGGAGCAACAAAGGGCAGTGACCCATGAGAGAGTGCAGTAAAAAACACTGAGCCCCACAATGGCCCAAAGGTGCTGCTTTGAGGGGGTTCCAGGCCACAGCCCAGACAGGAGGAAACCGAGAAGAACCCTGGTGACTCCCTGAGCAGAGGAGGCAGAGCTGAGGCCTCAGGAAGACCGAAGGGGCTACGCAGGCTACTGGAGTGAGTCCCTGAGATGAGAGAGCCAGAATGAGAACTCCACTGATCTGCCCAGCGTAATCCTGCAGCATTCAACAGAATATTAATCAGCATGTGCCTACGGGAAAAAACCATCTGAGGCCAAGGTAGTTACTCCCAGGGAGAGAACCATCTGGAAGGATTGAGAGAAACACTGCCCACAGCTCACCCAGGCCTGGAATGGTGCCTTTTCCCACTAGTCAGAAAGGCCTCAGAAGCACAGCCCATTGGAGAGGCTGCACAAGGGGTTTGCCCAGCTGGGGGAAATATCAAGGGCTGGACAAAGCACTGCTCTGGTCTCTCCTAAAATATATAAAAAGCAAAACTCAAATGGCTCAGAATCAAACTGCTTTCAAGTAACTTACTGTCTCTCCCAGAAAAGCTCAAGAATAGGATGGCAAACATGTCCCATAAGAAGAAAAATAACTATGTCTAGCTCTGAGACAAAAATTACCAGACATCAAGAGAAGCAAGAAAACATGTTTTATGATGCAGAGAAAAGGAGATCATAACTCATCCACAGTTGATAAAAATGAACAAATAGCAGATAAGATGATTAAAATCATTATTGTAACTATGCTCTATGTGTTCAAAAAGCTAAGAAGAGAGATGGAAGATTTCAAAAAGGCCCAAATCAGATTACCAGAAGTGAAAACAATAATTTGAGATGAAAACTGTACTGGGTGGGATTTATGGAAGATCACATGTTACAGAAGAAAAAAAAACTGATAAACATGAAGACATAGAAATATTCTCAAATATAGGTACATTTAGATAAGAAAAATTTTGAAATATGCTAATGAGTAAACAAGTATGGCATGAGAACTAAAAATAAAATCCTCAGCCCCCTGCGACTAACCCACCCCCTCTTGGCCAAGGGGACCCCAGAGAAAACTTTACATGTTAGTTCTCAGCCCTGATGGGATGGGAGGTTAGACACGCCTCCTTATACCCACTCCTTTTTGCGGTTTAGACACAACAGCTGACCAGCACTAATGTTAAAATAGAGGTCATAAGACTGATAGGACTGACTCTTTGTGGCAATAAAATGCCAAGTTATCAATAGGACCTAAGGCAATGCCAGGAAAGGGTTAAGTCATGCAGCCTATGCTAAAAGAGTAAACTATGTTCTTACCGACACAAGGCTTTTATTTTTCTCTAGCAGCTAAACAAGCACTGGCCAAGAGATAAGCAATGTTGAAGGAACTGCAGCTTACCAATCATGAAACGTGGACTGACCGCCTGCTCCACCAGCCATAACTATAGCTTTGATTGACAAGGGGCTGATTTCAATACCTGTCTCCTGTTGAGGTCACCGACCATGGACTGGTTCTGGCTGGTTTACAGCAGCTGTGCACCGAGTGCCTGTGTCCCTACTTCACACTGTGACATATAAGGCTTAATTGTCATGCATTTGAATGTTAAGTCTCCACCTCAGAGTAAATATGGGTCATATGTAATATGCATGTTTGTTCAATGGGTCAGGACACCTTCATGAATATTCATCGCTCCTCCTATAATCTGTTGAATATGTATGTTGAGCCAACCCCTTCAGCATAAGTTCCTGTCTCACCTTTTCTCCTTTGAAATGCCTGCTAAAGGTCCCTGCCAGAGGCTATACTTCCCAGCCTGTCAGAAGGAGCACCTCGTAGGCTGTAACCCTCTGTAAGAAATAAAGTTGGCTTTCAAAATTTATAGACCTTATCATTTTTAAGTTGAAAGGCATGTGGCACAAGCACGGTTGGGGGAACTCATATGAGACAAAATTCTGAGATGCAGCAAGAGTGTCCCCAGATGTAGAAGTGTCCCCACTACTCTGACATAGTTCTGTTTCATGTGATTGTAGTGACTTTGAAACGTCTTGACATAGCCAGGCAGAATGACATTCCTCTGAAGCCACCTTTCGTATGTGTCTTTTTAAGGTAGACCACAAGAAAATGTTTGTTTGAGACTTGGAAGATGGAGAGGAAGCAGCAGCCATTTAGTAGCTCACACCCTTGCAGCTGATCCGCTGACTCACTGCATCGGTGTGAAGCAGCAGCTGGTTCTGCAACAGCTTTTTTTTTTTTTTTTTTTTTTTAAACTGGATTCTCTCTCAGCTCTTCTGACTTCAGGCTAGATATGTGTGTGTAATGCGCTAGCAAAAGGGCAGCTTCTGCAGGAAGCTCACACCAAAGTCAGAGGCAACAGGAATGGACATGGGTTTCAGCCCATCCCAATGGGATTCCAGTCAGGCTTGTGATTGTTCCTTCCTGAATGCCTGGCTTCTAAACTTCAGGACCCGGTGTCAGGTTCAGCCTGATAACAGCAGCCTGACACAGGCTGCTTTAGGAGTTCCCACAGTTGTGTAATCCAAGTCCCTATAGCCAATCCCTATATATGAATATGTACGTATATAAGTATATACACAGGGACAAACACACACACACACACACTGAGTACGTACTGATGTGGTTTTCTGCATTCATGTTTTTAAATGCCTGGTGTTCTAACAGAATGCTCATGAGTGTGCACTCGTCCTGGCTCCTATATTAACTGACTGTGTGTCTTTGGCCAAGTGACTTATCTTCTCTGAGTCTCAGTTTTCTCACCTGTAAAGCAGGAATAATATTTTCTCCCATAGAGGTAATCATGAGATAATATATGTAAAGTTCTTAATTTAGCAATGGACTTACAGTACCCAATTTGGTAGATACTGTTTTCTTCAGTATCTTTATCTTCTCCATTAGACACCAGAAAAGTATGACCTCAGAAAAAGTGCATGATGATGACACTTTAGAAAGCAGAAAATAAAATCCAAGACAGAGAGGAAAAAAGGGTAGCCCAGAGTCTGAGGCATGATTGTGGTCAGGGTCCCTCAGCCTTGGGAGGGGAGAAGCAGCAGAGTCAAGGCTGGGTGTAGGCAGCAGGGGAGGCACACAGGAGGAAAGGAGGGGAACCTAGGCGAGGCCGGGTAAAGCAACGGAAAGAAATGTGAGGTGATCACACGTCTGCCTTAGGCTAGCCCAGAATACAGAAGCTAGCATGAGGCTGACCTCATTATCAGATGGTATTACTGATCACTGTCCATTACCTTCATTTCTTAACGAATAAAAATTTTCTTAACAAAAGTTTAAATACTTAGTGTTCATTCATAATGTGTAGTTGTATTATGAGCCCAAATTGTTTATGATAATTTTTACAAAGATTCACATTTGTCCTCATTTAGAATTCATACAGAGCTTCCTGATGTGCAGAGCTCACACCCCACTTAGGCCTTGTTTGTTAACTGAATAATAGTCATTTTCTGTTGCACAACAGTTAACCGCTAAGAAAAGGCATGGTCAGGCTAATTCTTTGACTGTAGCTCTCTATTCATTTTATGGTCACAACCATATTCCATGATCATCTGTTAGATTCAAAACATGAGGAACTCAAGGACCCAGTGAAAATTACCTTCACATCCCCGGCCATAACCCAGTATGACAGGACATGTGTTTAACTGAATTATAAACCATCAAAATGAAACAGCCGAAAAGTCAAGCTATTAAGAATGGGGCATTTTCCCCCGAGAGGAATGGCTCCATTTAGAGTTCATTTTGTTAGTTTATTTAGAAAATACAAAAGTGCTTACCTGTGTATACTGCCGCTTGCTGAGGAAGGTTCCAGTCTGAGGACCTTTAATACCTTCTAATGGAAGCGAGTTATTTCACAGAGGAACTCAACTTTCCCTGCAACATGCAGTTCCTCCCAGTGAGTGAGGGCATTGTAGGCCCCGGGTGCAGGAGGTGACGCTGGCCCTGCTCCCTTACCACGGCCCCTGGTTAGCTCCTGTTCTGTCTTTAGTCTCCTCTCTGTGCCTGCCCCCACCCCACTTCTCGTCCCATTCACTTATCCCCCCCGGCGCATTTCAGATGTGTGCTCGGAGATGCATATTTACAGGTGGGGTATGCAGTGCTGTTTATTGTGAGTGTGTTTATTGATTTATGTAAACAACTTTTTGCTATGAGGTATATCCTACTTTTTATTTTCTCACTCAAAGCTACACTTCTGAGATGTGCCACGTCACTGCTGGGATTTGTCTCTTAGCTGTGTAGCATTTCCCAGCAATGGCCGTGCCTGTGACATTGCCATCTGCGTGACAGTGAAGACATGGCAGGCTCCACTCCCTGCACTACAGATGCACGATGTTGGCATTGTCACTGAGCTCCCAGCATGGGGGTGCAACAGTGTCGCAGCGTGGGGCAGCGGAGTCAGTGTGACAGTTCATGATTCAATTAAGCACATTTGTTGTCATAATCTGCGATGGCTGTGGATGTGGAGATTATTTTAAATGGGTCCTCAAGGCTCTCATAATATTTTGAATCTAATAAATGATAATGAAATAAAATAAGAATGTGCCCATAAAATAAACTGAGAGCTATTGCCAAGGGATTAACCTAACAAATCGACTGCTTTATTTACGTGCTTAATTCTACTTAGCACTGGTGCATTTCTTTCCACAATGACTCCGCTAATGACAGGACCGCCAAGGGCACCTGAAGTCCTACCTTGTTGCATTAAATCATTATTCAGTCACCCCTTCATACCTTTCATTGACCTGAATAGCAGCTGAGCTCCTACTACAGGCGTAGTATTGTTTTAGACAGGAAGAACCAGGGACTAGTGAGATGAACAGGACCTTGTAAGTATAAAGTGTACATCCTCGTGGGGAGACAGATAATTCACCTAGACAAATAGTCAAGGTGATTTCAGATAGTGGTGATACACTATGAATAACCAAAATGGGAGAAAGATTAGAGAACACCTTAATATTTGTTGAAAATAATGTGGGGGCTGCAATGATTTTGCTGATTAATTCATTCCAGGAGCAGGTGCTGGCCCCTACCGGACATCAGCCCTCAAGTGCCCTGGGGGTTTCCGTGGCGTGTGGAAGTTAGGTGCCCCTGTCCTCAATGGGGGTAGGAAGGTTCTACTTTTAACTCCATTGAAAGATGCAAAGGAAAATGAAAGGCTGGCCCACGTAGAGGGTCCTCAGAATACCCCTCCTGCCATCCACATTGTGGAAGGAGGGAGCACTGGGGCCCTGGGATGCTCCATGCAGCTCCCATGGGTCTTTGGTGAGTCCTCCCTGGGCCCGTTCTCTCCCCACTGCTATGCAAAGGCCTGGTGAGCAAGAACCCTGGATGATACCTCCCCAGTGCCTCCATTTCCTCAATGCTCACGTCTGGCTTCCTGCCCTCGGAGATGGGGACTGGTAGGGCCTATGGCTCCTCACTTAGAGCATGTAGGCACAGAGCCAGGTCCCTGAATAAACCAATTCCCTGGACTTCTGCATTCCCAAAAGGCCAAGTGCACCAGGCCCCCCTGAGCACACCTGAGCCTCCAGGCTCTCCGTGGGTAGTCCCCTCCCCGCCTCCTCACCCTGCATCACCAAGCATGAGGCTCACCACAGGGTGGGAATGCAGTGAATACCACTGGATAGAGGTACTGAAGGATCTTATCACTTTCAATCATCACAGGTGAGGTTTAGTGCTGGGAATCCTGAGTTCTACAAAAGGCTTAAAACATCAAGAGAAAAAGAAAGAATGACACCCTCAAAAAACATGAGCCCAGGTATTATTAGCGTCTAGCCTCCAACAAGACAGCAAACTAACACAGGTTACAGGGAAGTTCCTCCAAGTTCAGTCCTGGAGACGTCAGATCGCTGAGAAGGAGGTTGATTGGTAAGGAACAAATGTCAAAACTATTAGAAACGGTTAGGGAGATTGAAGGTGGCTGAATCCTAGAACGTAAAAAATAAATTGGATTCCACCACATGACACCTGGTGAATGCCAGATCCATGAAAGCCCTAAATGTGAAAGGTAAAAATGTTAAAGATGGTATAAGAAGACGTGTAAGGATATCTGTAAGTTTGGGATAAAAAGACTTTTTAAATAATATGCCAAAGAACAAAAGTTAACATAATTGATACATCAGAATTAAGGATTTCTTTTAAATGAAGGACAGAGTTAAGAAAATTAAGAGAAGTAGTGCAACAGGAGACTGTTCTCCAATGTATAAAATCCACGAGGGGTTCACAGACGGAGCAGATCAGCGCTTAACAGAGAGTGAAACTGACCGGCCAGCAAGGTCCAGTCGCAGTAGGAGCTCCAGAAAAAGGAGGTTCCCGTCTTCCCTCTTGTTCTTCCCAAGGGCCAAAGTGCCTCAAGCATGACATTTTTCCAGGACAAAGATGAGCTGTTTCAGGAAGGAGGGCAAGGAGCATTGCAGTGCAGCCCAGCTTGGATCCAGGGAAAATTCAAAGATAGAAGATTAAAGTCCGCAGTCTCGCCCCCAACGAGGCATGGAGACCAGTGAGCCGGGAGCTCAGGGCAGGTGGTTCTGTCTGCCCCCGGCGCTGCCCTGGCGTAGACACTCAGGTCAAAGCACCCACCTTTAGGGCCAAGTCTTACTGGAGAGAGGCTACTCATGTGGAAGGGTGAGAAGGTGAAACTGTGATAGTTTATTAAACAATTTCAGAGTGGGGTTGGAATTTCAGAAAATCCTTTGAAGAAGAGGAAGGAATGGCTCCAGCTGTGAGGAAGCGCATGTTCCCAGCCTGAAGAAGAGCGTCCAAGTGGTGAGTGGGCCAAGGAGAGGCCGCGGTGTCGCGTCGCGCGAGCTTGCGGGGGCAGAGTTTACTTCTTCCTTTGCCAGTTCGAGGATTCACCACGTTTGTCCTTTGAAGATCGTTTGTGATTCATTCCGTGTGACCACTCTCACCTGCTGGTATTGTTTAGTTACAAATCCAGACAGAGTCAAGACGCTTGACGAACTGAAAACACGATGCAAATCCCGTCATTTCCAGACTGTTTTTCCAATGTGCAATTATGCGACTGGAGTCAGACAAAAACAACCTAGGAGCCAAGTACTGTTTCTCTCTGTGTCTCATCTCGGGCCTCCCAAGTCCTGGAGCCGCTTTTTCTCTCCTACTAAATGTTTAATTCTGATACCCTTCAAAACTCAGTCATGTAGTATCGCCCTAGGTCAGCGTTTCTTAACGGTGATCCACTAACCAGGATCACCTGGGGTTCCGGCTTAAAATAAGGACTTCCAGGCCCTACTTGGTAGCTGGTATATGAATTTCTAGTATTGCCAAGAACAAATTACACAACTTTATTGGCTTAAACAACACAAATCCATTGCCTCGCCGTTCTGGAGGGGGAAAGCCAGGGACGGAGGTGCCAGCCAGCAGGGCCGCACTCCCCCCAGGGTGGGGAGAGAGTCTATTCCTTCCTCTTCTCACCCCTGCTTCCCTCTTCTCACTCCTGCGGCTGCCAGCATGGCTGCACTCCCCCTGGGGTCAGGAGGGAGCCCCTTCCCTCCTCTTCTCACCCCTGCTTCCCTCCTCTTCTCACCCTTGCGGCTGCCAGCAGGGCCGCACTCCCCTGGGGTCAGGAGAGAGCCCCTTCCCTCCTCTTCTCACTCCTGCTTCCCTCTTCTCACCCCTACTTCCCTCCTCTTCTCACCCCTGCTTCCCTCCTCTTCTCGCCCCTGCTTCCCTCCTCTTCTCACCCCTGCAGCAGCCAGCGTTCTCGCACTGGTTTTTCTCAGCACATGGCCTTTGTCCTCATATTCCCTCCGCTTCTCTGGGTGTCTAAATCCCTGCCTCTCTTTTATAAGGACACTGCTTATAAAAGGACCCAGGATGACCTCATCTCAAGATCCTAAACTTAATCCCATCTTTCCAAACAAACTCACATTCCCAGGTTCCAAGGATGCCGGCCTGCACGTTATCTCTGGGGTCACTACTTAGCCAATTATACCTGGTGAACTGCAGATTGAAGTAAGGGAAAAGAAATCACCAGAAATATGCATTAAATTGAGAAGATCACTACCAGGGTAATTTTATGGACTCCCACGGCTTTAAATCTCATCTGTGTGCTGATTCCAAAAGTTCTCCCTCCAGCCCAGAACATACATTAGAATTCCCAAATCATATATATTCAATCACCTATTTGTCATTTCCAACTAAAATATCTTACCAGCATTTGAAACTCAATACACAAAAAGTGTACATCTTCAGGTTGTTTTTCAGAAACCACTTTCTCTAAGAGTTCTAATTTCAATTCACCATCCTGCAGCAAGTCACATGAGCTGGAAATCCTCATGGCGTCCTCTGCATTCTGCTCTCCTCCAACCCACCATCAGATCACCAATGTTTCCTCCAGGACACCCAGCTGGCAATGAGGAACAGAAGATGACTCTGAAGCCGAGCACCTGTCTCCCTAACCTCTCTATCTGTTCCTTCTATGCTGGCTCAGAAGTGTGTTGCCTTCTACCTGATCTTCACATTCAGATGTTTTTAAGGATTCAGCAAGGCACGCCTTCCCAGAGCATGTTTTGTTTGTTTGTTTGTTTGCTATTTTGAGACGGAGTCTCGCTCTGTCACCAGGCTGGAGTGCAGTGGCGTGATCTTGGCTTACTGCAACCTCCACCTCCCGGGTTCAAGCGATTCTCCTGCCTCAGTCTCCCAAGTAGCTGGGACTACAGGTGCGTGACACCATGCCCAGCTAATTTTTTTTTTCAGTAGAGACAGGGTTTCACCATATTGGTCAGTCTGGTCTTGAACTCCTGACCTTGTGATCTGCCTGCCTCGGCCTCCCAAAGTGCTGGGATTACAGGTGTGAGCCACCGCGCCTGGCCCCCAGAGCGTATTTCTTATGACACAACCCACTGAGCCTGACTGGGTTCTTGAACAGCCAGGAACTTCCATATCTCCACTGCCCTAACCCGAGTCCAAGTCACAAAAACCTGCCGCCCACACAGCCTTAGCTTCTCCCAATGAGCCCCCTGGATTCTTCTTTTGCCCTCTCTTCCCCTCTTTAATCCGCTGGTAATTCAGGTCACAGTTATCTTTTTACCTATGAATTATGTCAGCCACTCCTGACTATGCTGTTTCAACGTCTCCCCATTGCAATGTATAAAACCCAGGCTCGTGGCTTAACTTGGTCTGCAGTACTCTACATGGCACCCTTTCCTGCTTTCACTCCTACCCCTTCCATATCACTGTCGCCTGATTACTAAAATCCATCCACACTGGCTTCGTTCAGTTATTTTGACATGCTGAAAAATTCTTTCTTATCCTAGGGAATTTGGCACAAGGTTCCTTATACCTGGAATGTTCTGGAATGTTTACTTCTTAATTCTTCAGTTCCTTAGTGAACAATTTCTTCTCATCCTTTAAATATTAGCTTAAATATTACTTGCACAGCCAGACATTCTACAAACACACTCTCTAATGAGTTTCTCTATTATTAGGGCAATTGTATCACAGTTTCTTTACTTCATGACGTACAAGTTCTTGTAATTATGAATATACTTGTTTACATGGTTATTATCCAAGCAGTTAATAAATCATTTTGAAGGAATGACTGAGTAAGTGGTACATTTGCCACTATGAGCTAAGCTTAGTCTTCATGACAAAACATAAGAGTTGGTGAATAGCCTGTGGGACTAGAAAATGTGAAAGTGTTTCTTGTAACCAAGTAGCCAGTGTTTGTAGAGAACATGTGAGAAACTTCCCTCTCTATAGATGGGCACAAATGTATTTCAGTTTTAATAGATGTTTAAATATATTAATTGTGTTAAGTCACAAATTGATTATGAAAAGCCTTAATATGAACATTAATACTGATCAAGCCAAAAATTAACCTAAGGAATGAGTAGAGATGATTGGATCAGAAGAGCCTGTCATACGAACAGAGATCACATGATGTCTAAGAAAGAAGAGAGAGGATCTTTTTATTGAAGATACATTGAAAGGGTTTTTGTTTATAATGATGGCTGAAAGGCTCCCATCAGAGCCTATTCACCTTGTTTGAGATAACAGCTATGAGTTTTCTTTTGTAGTTGTTCTTTTGTAGAACTACTACCGTACTCCTAACACACATACACACACACACACAGAGAGAGAGAGAGAGAGAGAGAGAGAGAGAGAGAGAGAGAGAGAGAGAGAGACATATAACAGTTATCTGGAGGAACAGAGAAAAACCATAAGCTGGCAAGTCCTGAGTGAGAGTTAACATTTGAGGAAATAAAGTGGTAAATGTCTTGGGTAGTAGGGTACTCATTAGTTGCCCTCCCCACAAAAGAGAGAGAGAGAGAGAGAGACAGACAGACAGACACACCTGGTTTGTAGTTTGTCAAGTACCATGGTATAAATGGTCCCACCATGTTTAATCAACTTCTGGTTTCAAGCTACAAATGATGGAACAGCCAGCTTGGAAATTGCAGAATGTTCAACAATCACTCTTGCAAATCAATGCAAGCTGGTCCCAGAGCACCCTGGGGTGGTTGTCCCATTTCCGTGGTCTGTATGTAGCATGAAGGGAGGCCAAGTTTACATCATGCTCCAAAGCAGGCAGTTTCTGGGCTGGAATTAGCACTTGGAGGAGAGGAGTTGGCACAGAGTGAATATACCAGCTTCACAGCTTCTACCCCAAGGCCAGGCTCCAGCAGGCCATGTGGGGCAGTGAAACTCCAGTAGGTAACCTGCAGTCTTTCTCATCTGAAGAACACCGCAGGGTAAAATTGGGGGTAACCATAGACACAAAGACATTAAGGAGAAATCTGTGGAGAAAGAGACAGAGAGGGGCATCCACGCATCTTGTATATAAATTCTACCCTAATACCTGATGACCCCTGAACTGTGCATATGCAAGACACACCTCCAGCAGCCCAGCTAGAGATGAAAGGTCTGAATTGAGATTTGACCTGCTGTCCAAAGACAGAGCCTGCAGTTTGCTTCCAGTCAAGTGAGTGTCCGCTCTACCAACAACAGCAATGACACAGCTGAGCACTGTTTGGAGGAATACAACAGAACCCAGAATCTGAACACGTGACCTTCAGTGTCCAGGACAGTGGCAAAACCTTTACAATCTTCAACCGAGGAAACAGAAAAATAGGACCCAATCCCAGAAGAAAAGTGTCAGTGGAGACCGACCTCCATGTTGTAATTAGTACACTATTCCTTTAAAGCAAGTGTTAATAGTATGCTCTGAGACATAAAGAAACATAGATTCATAACAAATTGAAATATGGGATCAGTTTTTTCAAGGGACTTGTTGGAGAGCACAAGAAGCTGGGGAGAGCTTCAGGCTCCTGGGGAGGGAGAAGGACTGGGGGAAGGGACCCGGAGGGCAGCATGGTTCTGCAAAAACTTCAGCCAGGCTGGTGGAGGGTGGTTGAGCCTTGCCTTCAACACCACAGTCCTATTCTGCCAGGAAGGGTTCACTGCGGTGTTCCTGCTCGAATTAATTCCTGGTTGAAAGCAGATGGAGAGGGGAGAGGACTGAGGCTGCCCACAGCCTGTCACTCTTGGAGCCTCGAGGAGGGTGTGGGGGGCAAGGGAAGGCAGGAGCCCAGCTTCGGGGGCCACAGCCACCGTCCCGGCAGGAGACAGGAAGGTCAGTGGAGCAGTGATGGGAAACACCAGGCAATGCGGGGCTCAGGGCCAGTGCAGCTTCCTCTCTAAATGGAATGTGAACATGAGGGATGGGGCGCAAAGCTGATTGGAGAGAAAACCCTGGGGAATGTGTGAAAACACCTGGGTCCTGGCTGTAGAGGAGAGGTTCTAACGCAAGCTGAAGATGGCCTGTTCCTCTGAGAGTCTGAAGGTGGGAGTGGAGGGAAGGGTGCTGTCCTGACGTTGGAAAGTGTAAAAAGAGAGGGTGATGGAGGTGTCCGGTTCCTGCCTTCTTCTCAGGGCAAGAATCAAGTTCCGTGAGTACACAGGAGAAGGAACAAAGTGATTTCTTGTAGTTCTGAATACACACTCGCAGAGGACACAGCACGGCACTGTGGTCGGCCCCTCAGACACTCATTTAGGGAGTAAAGGGATGGGGGAGAAAAAGGGAAAAGGGAGGGTGGGATGGGGAGAGAAAAGAAAGAAGGAAGAGAAGAAAGCAGGAAGGGAGGGAAGGAAGCAGGAAAAAGAGACAGGCCTAGAATTCCAGAGTTTCAGGGAACGGAGAGGGCATCTAATCAAAACTTCATCCTCATTCATCTGAGACGCAGACCTGCACAAGAGACCGCCGAGTCCTGCCACACCGCTGCCGGCAGCAGACCCCAGCACACGTGTGGATGAGCAGAAAGGTGATGGTGGTGACCTCACAACACATTTCTGTTTCTGCTGGTCAGTGCCAGTTATGGAAAAGGCAGAAATCGAAAGGGAAGAATTGTGGACTTTGGACTCCGGCAGATGTAAGGCAGGCCCTAGACAAAGGCCAGCCTGTTTCCTTCTTAGTTGATGGCTTATTTATCCGGGACACACACACACACACACAGATATGCACACACAAGAAAACATGCAAGCGATGCACGTGCACACACATGCACACACATGCATGCACACACATACACACACATATGGATACATACACAGACGCACACACATGCATGCACACATACACAGATGCATACATACATACACACGTATGGATGCACACATACATGCACACACACACAATGTGCACACACATTTTCACTCGTGGAGACAGTGAGTGTCATAACATTCTTTTTGGATGTTAAATACATTTTTGAAAACGTGCACAAAGGGGGTTTTCACAGGGCTTATTACCCTTTTTAAAGTTCATAAGCTGCTGAGATCTGATAATGAAGCCACACACCCCGGAGGCAGACAAACAGGAAGGGAAATAACCGGAAGGGCAACTTTTCACTTCAGGGGACGACGACCAGGCACCGAAAGGCAGGTTTCAAGTGCCCCCTCGTGGCCAAGCCTGGACACTGTGCCAGGACAGAAAAGCAGGCAGCGCTGTTTACAGAATGGGGCAAACGTGGTTTAATTTGTTGTGTTATTAAAATTCATTAGATTGAACCGTCTGGTCTTTAAATGATGAATATTATTTTCTTTAACAAATGCTAAGATTTTAATAAGACCCCATAAGAATAAATAAGGAGAAATAACACAACACTTCACAATATGTAGGTGAATAATTTGCCCAACATGGCAGAATTTTGATTCCAACTTACTCATCTAACCTCATATTTTGCACTGGTAAGTTATTCTGTTTAAATTGAGTTCAAAAGCCTAGTGAGTAAAAGTGACCACATGGTAGTCACAAAGATGAAAACCTATCATATTATGAAATCAAGACAAAATGTTATTAGCTGGTTAAGGGGGATGCAGAGAAAAGAACTAAAATAAAATAGTCTTAGAAGTGAAGACAAGGGTTTCTCCTCAAAAATTTTAGGATCTCAGGACAAATCATGAACATCATAAACCAAAATACTTTGTATTCAAAAGCAATTGTACTTGACAAGAATAATGTCATAAGAAAATAAAAGGAAAAAGGCAAATTTTAGGAAATTGAGGGAAAATGAGAGAAAATGGGGAAAATATTATATATATATATATATATCCAAACACAGAAAACAGAAATATGGATACTTAAGTTTAGACAGGCCAAAGAAAATAGGAGAAAGCCGTTTTAAAAATATTATTGTAGGCCGTGCGCGGTGGCTCACACCTGTAATTCCAGCACTTTGGGAGGCCGAGGCAGGCGAATCGCCTGAGGTCAGGAGCTCAAGACCAGCCTGGACAACATGGTGAAACCCCATCTCTACTAAAAATACAAAAATTAGCTGGGCATGGTGGCAGGTGCCTGTAATCCCAGCTACTCAGGAGGCTGAGGCAGGAGAATGGCTTGAGCTGGGGAGGCGGAGGTTGCAGTGAGCTGAGATTACACCACTGCACTCCAGCCTGGGCAACTGAGCGTGACTCTGTCTCAAAAAAATAAAAATAAAAATAATTATCATAAGAAAGCCAGTTAGAGGCTCAATGCAGCCATATCGCCCACGCCCAGGTCCACGGGTCGCAGATGGAAGAATGAAAAACACACAGTCTACACTCAAGAAGACAGTGCCTGTCCACACACGGCCCAGGAAGCAGAGGTGTCAGAGCTATGAGTCAGGTCCTGCACTTGGAAGGGCTTTGTCTCACATGCCCTTCACACAGGGAGGATGGGGTACGGGATAAAGGGACCGGCTCAGCATCGGAGAAGCCCTGGCCCCACCACTGGCTCAGCATCAGAGGAGCCCTGGCTTTGATGTGTGATGGCTTTTGCTCTGTGACTTTGTCAAAATGACCCCATCTCTGAGAAGGTCTCCAACACACACAAGGCAACCGCAGATGAGCAGGTTCTCGGAAATGAGACTAAAACATAAGATCAATGACCAAGTAAGCCAGTGTGACTTGCTGGGAGAAGTGAGTTCGAGTCCTTAAAGGGAAATGGAGCAAGTGTAATTGCTTAGAATTCTTTTAGGGGAGAAGGAGCAGTGCCAATAACTAAATGCACAAAAGGAAAGTGGATAGAACCTTCCGGACACAGAGGAGGAGAGTTCGCAGCAGAATGTGGGATTTGAATTGTAAACAGCTGTCACTCCCAGGCATTAATGCACTAAAAATCATGAAAAAGGGTATAGCTATAAAACATAAAAAGATAAAAAGTAATTTAGAAACATAAGACAACTATTATAGACATGCATAAAATTAGAACAATTAGAAGACAGGATAAACATGGACTAAAGCCTAAAACATCAGAATCAGAGTTGCCTTTAAGAGTGTGAAAACATAAACGTGAAGAGCTTACCTGTATTTCCTTGATAGTAAACTCACGAATGCACGAAAGGAATAAAGTCACAGGCAACTGGCTCATGTTTTAACATTGAAGGAAATTATGAGTTGGGATGTACATTCCCTGCTGGAGCTCAGCGCCTTCGAGAGAGCTGCACCTTCCTCCGGAGAAACTTTTGGCATTAAGCTCAAATATCAAATGATAACAACAGTGAAGAGTCATGGCTTATATTACCAAGTGCCAGGAGCTGATACATTTGTCCCGACATAGTTATTAATTCAATTAATCTTCACAAAACTCCTATTGCACACGGAGAAACTGAGGCATGAAGACACTCAGGAAGTTACCTGAGGTCATACAGTGAGTGAGGAGAGACCAAGTAGATGAGCTCAGAAAACCTGAGCCCACGTCCCGGGCTGCCCTGCCTCCTGGACGCTGAGCTGTGTCATGTCTTCATTCCCAGATCCAGGTGGAAAACCTGAGCCTGAGTCTCGGGCTGCCCTGCCTCCTAGAAGCTGAGCTGTGTGATGTCTCTTTCTGAGATCCAGGTGGAAAACCTGAGCCTGAGTCTTGGGCTGCCCCGCCTCCTGAACGCTGAGCTGTGTGATGTCTCTTTCCAAGGACCAGGTGGAAAACCTGAGCCTGAGTCTCGGGCTGCCCCACCTCCTGGACGCTGAGCTGTGTGATGTCTTCATTCCCAGATCCAGGTGGAAAACCTGAGCCTGAGTCTCGGGCTGCCCCACCTCCTGGACGCTGAGCTGTGTGATGTCTTCATTCCCAGATCCAGATGGAAAACCTGAGCCTGAGTCTTGGGCTGCCCCGCCTCCTGGATGCTGAGCTGTGTGATGTCTCTTTCCGAGATCCAGGTGGAAAACCTGAGCCTGAGTCTCAGGCTGCCCGGCCTCCTGGATGCTGAGCTGTGTGATGTCTCTTTCCCAGATCCAGGTGGAAAACCTGAGCCTGAGTCTTGGGCTGCCCCACCTCCTGGACATTGAGCTGTGTGATGTCTCTTTCCAAGGTCCAGGTGGAAAACCTGAGCCTGAGTCTCGGGCTGCCCGCCTCCTGGACGCTGAGCTGTGTGATGTCTCTTTCCAAGGTCCAGGTGGAAAACCTGAGCCTGAGTCTCGGGCTGCCCCGCCTCCTAGAGGCTGAGCTGTGTGATGTCTCTTTCCAAGATCCAGGTGGAAAACCTGAGCCTGAGTCTTGGGCTGCCCCCACTCCTGGACACTGAGCTGTGTGATGTCTCTTTCCCAGATCCAGGTGGAAAACTGGGGCCAATGTTCCTGGTTATCCCCCCAGCAGCATGTGTTCCTGGGATAAGGCCTTGCATTCCCACAGAGCTGTGCGGGGGCTCATGCCTAAAATCCCAGCACTGTGGGAGGCCGAGGAAGGATTGCTTGAGCCCAGGAGTTTAAGACCAGCCTAGGCAACATGGCAAGACCCCATCTCTACAAAAAAAAAAAAAAAAAAACAACTAAGCCAGGCGTGGTGCAGGCACATGCAGGCACGTGGTTCCAGCCACTCAGGAGGCTGAGGTGGGAGGATTGCTTTAGCCCAGGAGTTTGAGGCTGCAGTGAGCTGTGATGGCATCACTGCACTCCAGCCTGGGTGACAGAGTGAGATCTTGTCTCAAAAATTGAAAAAAAAAAAAAAAAAACCAGCTGTTGGGGTGGTCTTCAGCCAGGCTGTCCCCTCTCAGTGCTCTTTGATAAAAGTCAGATTATCATAGCAAAAGTCTGATTTGATATATTCTGCATGGTAGTGCACCCAAATCTGAGGTTGGAGGGGTGGGAGGGTAGAGACAGCGTTGTTTCTGATCTGAAAGTCTTTCAAAGATGCCCTTTTTGTTGAAAAGTGGCCTTAAAGTTTTGGTAATGATGTTTGCGTCCCCAGAGGTCCCTCTTCTCTTCTGACACCAAGTTTGGGAGGGAGGGATCCAGGCAGAAGCAAAGGAGAGGATGCAAGCATCCCAGCCAGAGTATCAGGCACCCAGCACAGGAGCCTCTTGTCCTGGATGGCAGCAGGAAGCACCTTGCACTGTCTCCAGAGAATACTTGTAAATGTGTCCCTTTCACTCCCAGCTGACTGAGACCGACCTCGAGATGAGACCAGAAGTGGAGGTGCCTTTCCTGGAGCACTTGCAGCTGCAGGACGCTGGCTGGCTGTGCTCAGTGTAATGAACTCCTGCCACCATCTGTAAAACTTGATTCTCATCCCCAGGCCTGAGCCACTGTTTTTTTGTTTCTAGCAGGAGAGGTCATTAAATGCAGTCATTGTCCTGAGCAGCTAAACTCTTTTCCTTGCTTCCTTTGGTCAGCAAAGGTCTGTTGTACTCAGCCAGCAACTTCTGGGACAGGTCCCAAGGCCACCATCAAAGCCCCGGGGGGCTGAGGGGAGCCAGGCCCTGAGGCCGTAGTTGGGTGAGGTCGCTGCATTCACCTAATGATCCTAAAACCACCCTAAAACAAAGGTGCCTCTCCCGGAGCCCATTTTACCTAGAGTCAGCCACTTCACCTCCTGAGCCCCTGAAGCCCTCAGCAGGGGCACTGCAGGCTCCCCGAGGACACCGATCTCTGATCACCCAGCCGGGCTCTCTGTGTCCTGGAGTGTGATGAGGTCAAACCAGGGCAGAATCCAAGGAAAACTCACTTTCTCCATTACAGCCAATGCACACTCTGAGAGACGGGCCTAAGGGACACCCTCGAGGTCAGACCAGTGAGCTGTCTTGAACTTTGCAATAAATGTCGATCCCCCGACTTTTGATGCTGAACGTTAGTGGGAGACGTGTGCAACCACGCCCACGGGGTTCTGCTGGGTCGGGGCAGTGACGGCCGCGTGGGTCCAGCCACCAGCCCCTTGAGGTCTGTGTTAAAATGGCAGCGTCTATGTCAGGACAACAGGAGCCACGGCTTGGCGGAGACCTGTCCACGGTCAGCACAGCAGTAGATGTTGTTTGCAGAGACGGTTCTAACGGTGCTGTTTAAAATAGCTCTGGACTCCTGCACAAGCCGAGAATGAAAAGATGAACAATCAGTGAATAAACCTGCCTGGCTCCGTTCTTGCTGGACTCCCTCCCAGTCAAGTTTCAAAGCCGGCTTCGTGCCGAGTCGTCCTCTTCCCTTCTTCTCTGTGTGGCCAGGTGCTCCCATCCTCCCCACCAGGGCAGGCACTGGCTTCCCTCACTGAGGAGGCCTCCAGCGTCAGCATCTGAATGCCCTTGGCCTTTAGGACCCCGGCCCTTGGGCTGTCCCAGTGGATGCTTCATCCCATCTTTATTTCCCTTGTCATAAGGGGAAACTCATCTCACTCCACCAGGTTCGCTGGGCACCAGGGGAGCCTGTGCTCTTTCACAAACCCCACACTGCTCCAGGGCTCTCGTGCAGCTAAGCCTAAGGTAAGTGCTCATCCAACATTCGCAAAGCAGTGCTCAGCTCGGGGCAGCCCTCAGCAACTGGACAATTGTGTGTGCAGAGGCCAATCCAGAGTGCACACTTGGCAGTGTTCTCAGGATATCAGGTGCATTTTTCATAAATAGAATCAGCTTCTGGGATACTAACAAACACAGAATTATTAAAAAGTGAGCATTCAAAGTATAGAAATAGATTTCCTTTTTTTTTTTTTTGAGATGGAGTCTTGCTCTGTCGCTGAGGCTGGAGTGCAGTGGCGCGATCTTGGCTCACTACAACCTCTGCCTCCTAGGTTCAAGCGATTCTCCTGCCTCAGCCTCCTGAGTAGCTGGGACCACAGGCACACATCACCACGCCTGGCTAACGTTTTGTATTTTTGGTAGAGACGGGGTTTCACCATATTGACCAGGCTGGTATTGCACTTCTGACTTCAGGTAATCCACCTGTCTTGGCCTCTCAAAGTGCTGGGATTACAGGCGTGAGCCACTGCGCCTGGCCTAGAAATTACTTACAAACATTTTTTTTCAGTGTACTTTTCCCTTATTTGTGAAAGAAGGGAGCTCCTAATCTTAGAGAACAGACACAGAACCATTTTCATAGAGTTTAAGTGTGTAGTCAAGTAAGACATAAAACAGAATATCCAGACCAGTGAGCCGTCTTGAACTTCGCAATAAACGTCGATTCCCTGACTTTTGATGCCGAATGTTAGTGGGAGATGTGTGCAACCATGGGGTTCTGCTGGGTCTGGGCAGTGATGGCCGCGCAGGTCCAGCCACCAGCCCCTGGAGGTCAGCGTTAAAATGGCGGCGTCTATGTCAGGACGACAGGAGCCACGGCTTGGCGGAGACCTATCCACAGTCAGCACACCAGCGGACGGGGTTTGCAGAGACAGTTCTAATGATGCTGTTTAAAATAGCTCCGGACTCCTGGACAAGCCAAGAATAAAAGGATGAATAATCAGTGAATAAAAGTGCCTGGCTCTGTTTTTACCCTGGCATCTGGAAATACCCTTTGTGGTCAGTTTTGATAAAAATAATTAGCAAGTCGCATGGGTGATTATAATCAGTATTAATCTTGCACAGCTGAAACACGAGTTTAGTCTACCTTTTTTAAAAAAAGGATCTGCTGGTATTCCTAATCTGTCCTAGGCTGGCCATCTTCCTGATTTAGGTATCTCTGAATCCTTAATGCTGGGCACATTCGAAACCTTGGCATCTCACTCCTAGAGAACAACCCACTCTGTGCCCAACAGCCTGCAGGTTGGCACCTGCCTGGCCTGGGATCTCCCTGTCCCCAGCACCCCAGCGTATCTCCTGCTCTTTCTCTCCATACTCCCCACAGCTGGGCCACAAACTCCAATCCATGGACCACAGCCTCTGTGCAGGCCTTGCCCTCTGAGCAGCTGGAGAGCAGAACGATGTCCATCATGTTGAAAGAGGCCAAGTTAGGGGGGCAGGTGAGCCAAGCCCCTCGTCTGGGACAGGGGCCCTCAGAGGCCAGCAGAGACCCTGTGTGAGGGGAACCGGGCCCCGCGTCTCATCCTGAGACCCCAGGAGCAGCTGGGATGAAGATCCTAGGACTGCTCATTTGTTTCCATTGCTGCTGTAACAAATCACTGCAAATCACTGCTTAAAACAACACAGATTGGTCCCCTCACAGTTCTGCAGGCCGGAAGTCTAAAATCCAGGCGTCTAAAATCCAGGTGTCGGAGCTTTGAGGGAGAATCCCTCTTACTGCCTTTCCCAGCGCGAGAGGCTCTCTGCATCCTGGGCTCCCGGCCCCTTCCCCATCGTCACACCTCAGCCTCTGGTTTTGGGGTCACAGCTCCTTTTCCTGACTTGGATCCCCAGCCTCCCCGCTATGAGAACCCTGTGTCAGCGTCCCCACCCCCAGATGGGCCAGGGTCACCTCCCCATCTCACCAGCAGATTCCCAGCTTGAAACAGTAATTTAATTGCACTGCAGAGTCCATTTTGCCAGGTAAGGAAAAGCGCAGGTTCCTAGGTGGGTGGAGACGCGCAGATCTTCAAGGGCCGTCGTCCATCCTCCTACGGAGGGGCCCAGAGGCACAGGTGAGGTCAGCCCCGGGCAGTGGTGCAGGCACTACACACACGATTCTTTTGCTGCTACAAGCTCTTCAAGAGTCTACGGAAATGTTTCTGAACACAATTTTATTGGCTCCCAAACAGGAAAAGTTACTGCAAACTTTAATAAAGGTTTACTCATTCACCTACAAAAATTTCACTTGTGTATTCACAAACGATTATAACTTTTTTTTTTTTTTTTTGAGATGGAGTCTTGTTCTGTTGCCCAGGCTGGAGTGCAGTGGCGCGATCTCAGCTCACTGCAACCTCCGCCTCCCGGGTTCAAGCGAAGGAATGAGGCACCTGGCCTCTAGTGAGCACGGCTCTCGGGCGAGGTGGGTGACGCTGGGTTTGCTTTTCTCTCTGTACTTTTTGTTTTTGTTTTCTGAGGTGTGCCATATGATGAAAAGATGTTGGGTCCTTAAATTCAACTTTCAGTGGGAGAAATGCTTTCATCCTGGGCTATGATTCTGCGGGAGAACCAGGTGGTTCTTCTCACGAGATACACTCAATCCTCATTTTCGACTGTGAATGTTTCTGAGGGAAGGGTAACAGTAAGTGGGGAAGGGAATAGGCCCTAAGTCAGGGATAATAACCTTTTCATTCCCTGGGTTCAAGCGATTCTCACTCTCAGGGCGAGCACCGTGCCTGTGCGCTTCCTGAGATAAGTCTCAGCGACGGACCGGCACAACCTCCGTTTGACTCCACAAATGCTGAGTGTGGGCAGGAACCGCTTTTTAAATATTAACTAACTTTAAATTACATCAGTCCCTTTTTCAGAGCAGTGAAACCCGCCAGGGTGCAAACACAAAGGTTCTTTTTAATAAAGAAAAAAAAATCACAAATAGGAATACAGAAAGAACATCTGTTATTTTTAGAATACTTCTTACACTTTTTACTTTCTCATTAACAACTGATAGTATGTCATGCATTTTAAACTTCTTTTTTTTAAGAGGAAAAGGAAAAAAGAAAGAGAAAAAAGAAGAGAAATAAACCACAGAAGCTGACAAAAATCCATCGGCCCACAAATATTAATATTTTATGAACTCCTAATCTGTGTCCAGTGCTGGGCTGGGCTGAATATTCGTTCTGTCACAACCTGCTTTCACATTTTTCCGTTGATGGGCTGCCTGACATAACCTCTCAGTAGATACAGAAATACAGAAATAGCCCTTGCATAATACATTCTGGAGGTGACGTAGGAACTCTCTGCTGTGCCATGTGGGGACGCTAATGAAAAAGCTGAGCTGGCCCGTCGACTCTGTGGGCGCCGATGGTGTGTAAATCTTGTGCGCGCCCGGCCAGGGTGGCCAGCCTGCGGCCTGGGGACGGAGGGGCGCGGCTGCCCCAGACGCTGTCCGTGTGGCCCGGCCGGCACCGGGGCCACCTCCCGGCCACAGCCTCCGACGGCCACCACCTGGGGAGGCCCCGCCAGTGACAGCGCCCAGTTACTGGAAACTGCGTGGCTATGTCTTGGGGTCGGTTCCTGAGCAGCTCATAAATAAGGGCTTCCAGAGGTGCGTTTTCTATTTGCAGTAACCCCCTTCTCCTCCCACCTCCTCAAGTGATAAATCTAGCAGCGAACTCAACGGCGTCGTTGTTCCCGCAATACTAGGGTCAGAAATGAATCAATGCCGCAGTGTCGCTCGGCCGCAGACAGGCCGTAAATATACCATTATTAATCTCTGCTTAATAAATGAAAAGGCGGGGCCGCATGGCTGCTGGCTGCGGTGTCTGTGCGGCCCGGATCAGTGGCCTCTTTGTTTGGGGTGAGGTGGGTGGGGGACTGGTGTTGTCACCTGAAAACGGAGACATGGATCACACCCCTGTCCCCAGAAGGCCCCACCGTTCACCATTGATGACTCACAAACACAACTGTGGGGCTCTGAATCCAGAAAGAATGCACACTCGCTGGGCGTGGGAATGGTGGTGCCTCTGGAATAAACATTTACCCTGGAGGTGTGTGTCTGCTTGCAACACAAACGTCTGTCCATGCTGCAGTCTCTGTGTTCCCATCGCCCCGCATGACGCTGCCTCTTCACAGGGTCAGGAACAGCGCCTGTCTAGAGGGTGCAGGGAGAAGGGAGCAGCAGTTGTTGGCTCCGAGAGCAATTTTTCATGTCCTTCCACACAAGCTCTCCCTCCTCACTTTCAGTCACCTGCAATGGTGGAATTTTTTTACCCTTATTTTAAAAATTAAAATGTACACACATGAAGATTCCAAAATAATTCGTTACTTCCTCAAACTGCAGCAAATGGGGAAAGTCAGAGCAAGACCCAGATCTTTGGAATTCAGATCCACTCTTCACACCGCCAGACGAGGCTGGGATGGCCTGGGATTCAGGAGAGGCGGTGAAGTTGGAGGGGGTCAGCAGCCCTCACGGCTACATCTGCAGGAGGACCACCAGGGGCCAGGCCCAGCGCTGGGTGAGCCTCCCTCCTCCTCTGCAGCAGGACCCCCATGGGGCCAGGCCCCGGGCTGGGTGAGCCTCCCTCCTCCCAGGCTCTGCAGGCCTCCTGGGCCTGGGCTCTCCGTGGCCCCTATCTGAAGCCCCGCTCTTCATACATTTGGCTTCCCAGCTTCTTCCCAGGTAATCCGACCATTGGCTTTACCCAAATCACTCAGGATTCAGGAGGAAAGAGCAGGTGAGGCAAAAAGGAGAAAGGGAAGCACAGAAAACTACGAAGAAATAATTAACAATCCTTCCATGCTAGAAAGAGGAAAATGCATTCATCCTTTCAGAATCCCGCGGGGCGGTTCCCGCCTGATGGAGCCAAGGTCCCCGCGGGTCTGGAACCCCTGGACAGGCCCGGCCTGATGAGCCATGCACGGTCCTGCAGGTCTGGACCCCCTGGACAGACCCGGCCTAATGAGCCATGCACAGTCCTGCAGGTCTGCGGTTCTCAAACCCCTGGACAGGCCCGGCCTGATGAGCCATGCACGGTCCAGCAGGTCTGGAACCCCGGGCAGGCCCCCAGGCAGCCCCGGCCCTTGGCGGCACCCGCGGAGCCGGCGCGCTGCGCAGCCTGAGCACCAGAGGGCGCTGGCGCGCTTTAAACGCGGACGGGAATTGGAAGCCCTGGTTCTGCCGCTCCCCGGTCCTTCCCGCGTCTCACGCGACGCCGGCCATGCAATTATTTGTGCACATAATTACGGCATAAAACGGACGCACGGTGAGCCCTTTAACGCACCCTGTCTAAATATCTGATAGTTTTCAGTTCCATGGACACATTCTGGTGGATTCAGGTTTTGACACTTCAATGATTTCGGAAGCCCTGTAAGAAAAGTAAAACCGAATTACAAACAGGAAGGACAGCAGGAAGCCCTCGCCTGCAGTGAGAAGAGAAACCTCAACAACACTACGCGTTCTGAAAACCTAGCAAATCTTCTCCAACAAGGCCCATCTGAACGTGATACAATGTTTCTACTGAATAACGGCCCCACATACACATTTCCCCCAATTTTTCTGCATATTATTCAACCACCTTTTCATGTGCCAATGGCTATCTCTATTTTAATATTGTTTTCCTTAGAGAGAACAGAAAGAAAACTCAGTTTCCAGAGTCGCAGGAAATAGAGTTGTATTGGGACTGCGCGGTGAGCCTAAACCCGTGGTCCGCCGCAGAACTTGCTTTTCCGACTGCCAGCCCCGCCCGGCACTGCCGACGCTGGGGTTCTGAAAAGTTCTACCTTGCACAAGTAATTGCCATTGTGTTTGTGCCACATGCCTTTTCCTGTGTGTGATGTGTTTATCGCTGCATGTACTGCATTCTCGACAGGAGATGCTTGACAGACGAGGACTTTTGTTTGGATAAGGTGGGGATGAACCTGCATATAATTTAGGGTGTACAGATTGGAAGAATTTCCTGCAGAGCAGCTTCGGGGTCGGCGCCTTTGAGCCTTGTGTCTGCCTGGCTGTCCATCCCCCTGGGCCCTGGAGGACCCTTCTGCGTCGGAACTGACCTCTGGCCCTGCTCCTTCTTGTCACAGGCCGGGTGAGACACACGGTGGTTGGGTGAATGTTCTGGAAGCCACTTCCACACTGGGAAGATCAGCAGTAATTCAACTATCCACAGACGTGATGGTGAACCATGAGTGGATCCCACCATGCCAGAGTGAAATTACTGCAGTTCATCTCTTTTCAAATTGGATCTCAAAGTCCTCATGATCCCTTCGATGCCACCAGACACCAGGGAATGGCGGCAGAGAGGACATGGGAGGGGATGGAGAGCTGTCCAGACTCCGTGAAGACAGACATGTGTCCAGCTTCCCTCCTGAGTCCCTGCAAGAGACGGCAGCTGAGGGAGCTCACATTCAAGCTTCATGGACTGCACTGTAAATCCGTCTCCTAACAAGTTTGAAATGATTTAGAATAAATGAACCTAGAGTCATAGAATCACTGTTATTTGAGATTGAAGGGAACTTTTACATACACTGTCTGGCCTGTGGCTCTATCTGACAAATGAGAAAACAGACCCAGAATCTCAGAGCAGGGGCATGATACAGCACCAGCTCCCAGTTGGCCCTTTTTCACCTTATAGATTAAAGGTTTTCTTCCTTATTGGCAACCTACTTTAGAAGTCATTAAGTATCTCTCTGAGGAACTGCATGTGCTTCCAAAAGTTAAGCAAAGTTTCGAAGTTAGGTGCTGCAGCAAAACCTTTAAAAAAACCCAAAGTCTATATAGGCTGCTCTCTGCCCTACGAGTGCAATAGAAGAGTAACCCTTCTAGTGTAAGTCAAGGCTTGACATGGCCAACTCCGAAACCAAGTATTTAGGGAAGAGCATCCCGTCTAGCGTAAGTCTTGACACGGCCAAACCCGAAATGAAGTATTTAGGGAAGAGTAACCCTTCTAGTGTAAGTCAAGGCTTGACACGGCCAACTCCGAAAACAAGTATTTAGGGTGGGGTCGGGATAGTGAAAAGGGGAAGCGTGGATGTCCACCCAACAGGAGGCCGGATGCTGTGAGGTGGATTTAACCTGGCAGCACAGCCAAGGGCATACTTCAGTTATGGGGCAGAATCCTCTGATTCCTGCGTCTTTTGTTGCCATGTTCTTAAAGCTAGGGAAACAGTTCCACAGGCTTAACATGAAAACAGAGTAAGTATGGGACAAAATAAGGAAAACTTTGATAGATTGTATTTGGAATATGCCACCCCCTTTTCCACTGTGCCATGATAAAATAAAAATGTGGAGTTTATGGTTTATGTTCTGGGAAACATCAATTGTTTTAGGAGCGTGATAAATACTTTTCATTGGAGCCTAGGCTTGTACCTATTAGACTCACAGTACATTTTGCTACATAGAACTCATGGCTCCTACAAAAGATTTTTTCTTGCATGTTTACATGAAATAAAGCATTATTACAACATCGTGAATATTTTTACAATTAAAACTGAAGTATTTGATTGTTATAGATGGGCTAATAAGTTTCTTATTGGAAACTTGGAATTCTTCTTCTGGAAATCTTCGCTATTCCCGCAATATGTCAGCACTGCAGACACCATCAACCCCATTTTCTACAATTTGTCTATATTCTACTATTTCCATATTAAATAATTTTATTTGCTTTAGGCCACTGTTCTGCGTTCTACACCAAAGCAAAATGTGTGTGTCATGGGACCCAGGACTGGGCTCTAAGAAACGCAGAGCTTCCGTCTCCTTGTTGGGAGCTGTGGAAATGACTGGCTCGTCAAGTAATGACTTCTGCTTCTCACACACCTTGCAACCCTGACCCCTGTGTCACATCACGGGATATCATGGTCTCACACACAGACCATTCAAAGACTGGCATACCTGATGTTTCAGATTTCAGCTCTCCGTTCCCAAAAGCACATTCTACTTGTCTCCAGGATTTTCTTTATAAACACTCAAATCTGGTCAAGTCTGTAGGCTGGAGCCTGAACTCCTCCGTAGCTCATAAGTCTACATGGAATCCACCCATCTCTGTCATCTTGTGCCCCCTTTCCTCTGTGAGCTCCAGGTTTAAGCTACAACAGACCCTTCATCAGCCATCGGACACACCTTGCCTTCTGAAGGTTCTGCGGCTCAGCTTAGAATGGCCTCCCTACCAAGGATTATTCAGTTAAAATGTTCTTGAAACTTGGATTACATTGCTTGCCTCTCTGTTTGCAACATTAACTGCATATATTTTCTAATATAGTGCAGTAATCTTATTTTAATTACATGTTTATATCAAATTTTTTCATTACAATGTGAGGTTCTTCGACTCTGCCTTCTTTATGCTAATTCTGAGCACAGTGCCCAGCTTAGTTCATGGCTTCCATTAAGAAATCGTCAAAGATATAAATGAATAAACGGCTGTGTATACATTAGGGTGCAATAGTAATTGTCAGGCTCAATTATAGACTATTCAGGACAATCAGCCAAAAACTAAGCTAGGGAAACACTAATGGCATACAAATATTTTAGGTTCTTCTCTAAAGGAGCTCCTGGATAGCTGGGAAGCCCTTTGACCTTGAGTCTAGTTCCTAAGATCTTGCTAAGCCCTCAGTGGTCACTGAACTCAGTTGGAACAACCCCCTCAATGAGACTGAGCTGCGCTCTGCATGCCCACCGCTGCGATGAACAGTGGATGTTTCACGGAAGAATAAGTGTTTGCTCTCAGGGAGGAAGGAAGCTCATATATACCCTTGGAAATGCAAAAATGAGCCCCCAAACGAGGAAACAGTCAAAACAAACTACCAGCAAATTTTAGGTCATTTAATAGCAAATACAACAGCTATGGGAGCTTAGAGAAGCGCTGAATGTTTGCAGACCACAGAGGAAAATCCAGGCTCCACGTCTCAGCTTCTCTTCCTCAAAGACTGCAGAGATGAGAAACGAATTCCCAAGACAACAGCTCCCTGCTCACCTGCACTCCCCCACATCTGTCTCCTATAACACGCACGCCATTTTTATATTAAAAATGAAAAGAGTAACTTTGACAACAGCCAGCACTTTTGAATGCTAGACACTATCCTAATTTCTTTATACATCCTTAATGTATTCATTTAAATCTTTGACAAAACAATAAACCTATGACATAGGTAATATTGCAGAAACTGAAGCATACGATGATTAATTGTCTTGCCTAAGGTCACCCAGCTCTGCCAAGGCAGAAACCAGTAAGGTTCAACTAGCGATGGCTCTAGAATTTCAGTTGATAAGGAAGGGGCTTCGGGGACACTGCACTGAGGAGCGGAGACCCAACAGACCTGCACAAAACTGAGATGGACTGGATAGCCACGTAGTGTGTAGCAATTTAGATACAATCGAGATGATCTCTGCGGCTGTTATGAATGGAAGGAGCAAAAACGGGAGGCCGTGAAGAGTGTGGAAGGGCAAAAACATCCCGAGCGTCTCCGTGACATCATCTGGTCTCACAGCAACCACCCCACCCTGGAGCGCACTCTCCCAAGCCCTGGGCTACCTTGCTTCCAGTAAGCTCACGAACAAGGAAGTATTTCCAGCACGTCCGCTCACGGAGGCCACTTCTGGAGATCTTTATAGGACCACTCTGCAGAGCACGATGCGACACACCTGGCTTAGCTTCCAGAATGCTGGTGCTCAGGCCGATTTGCAGCTCTGGATATGGAACCTATTCTGGGATGGAGCCTTCTGTTAAACTTAATTTCAAGTATTGGATTCAGCATGAATGTCTTTTGCATTTGCTCCAGAAGTTTACATCGTAGCTAAATATATCTCTAACTCCTGGATATGTGGGTTACCAAAAAATGTTTCAATGCCACAGTTTACCCCAACTGTTAATAATTCACAGACACTGACATGCAGCAGTAATTTAGAATATTTCTTAAATTTTCCATTTATTATAAATTGAACTTCATGCTTATAAATATTGAAAGTGACATTGGTAAGCTATCATGGTACAATTTACT
This sequence comes from Homo sapiens, assembly GCF_000001405.40. Lineage (NCBI taxonomy): Eukaryota > Metazoa > Chordata > Mammalia > Primates > Hominidae > Homo > Homo sapiens. The sequence continues at coordinate 114,123 of NW_004166862.2, read as the reverse complement.
ATATTTAGATGTAGTTTGAACAATTAAAACTGTGCTGATCAGCTCAGGGATTTCTGAAACTGTTTTTGGAACTTTGTCAGATTTTGCAACAATTGCCGTCTTAAAAAAATCTCCAATATACATTTGTTTCTTTATTATAGTTCATTAAAATGCATGTTTTAAAGAAGATGCATATTTTTCATTTTAATCTTTGTCTTAACTTTCATGCAGTAGCTTAAGAAAAATAGTACTTGCTGGCTGGGTGTGGTGGCTTACACCTGTAATCCCAGCAGTTTGGGAGGCCGAGGTGGGTGGATCACTTGAGGTAAGGAGTTTGAGACTTTGTCTCTATCAAAAATATAAAAATTAGCTGGGCGTGGTGGCACGTGTCCGTAATCCCAGCCACTCGGGAGGCTGAGGTGGGAGAATCACTTGAACCCGGGAGGCAGAGGTTGCAGTGAGCCAAGATCACCCCATAGCACTCCAGCCTGGGCAGCAGAGCAAGACTCCATCTCCAAAAAGAAAAAAAGAAAAGAAAAACAGTTACTTGCTAAATTGTAACTGCAGGATGAATTATGACTGCGTTCCTGCTGCAGGATGGGCAGGGAGTCCCCACTCCACGCAGGCCTGGCCAAGCAAAACGTGTCCAGTAGGCACAGCAGCCCTGGTAGGGAACCTGCAGGGTCCAAGTTCTCGAAGCCATGGGAGGGGCCTGAGGCTGGCCTGTCTGACTTTCCCACCCGTCTTCTCACTTTCCATCCTCTCTTCCGTCCCCATGATGCTTATCCACAAGTGGCTGGGCCATGTCCTGGAGGTGGAGTGGGGGCAATTCTGACCTGGGGAGGCAGTTCTCACCTGGGTGGGGGGACAGCTTTGACCTGGGGAGTTCTGACCTGGGTGGGGGGCCGTTCTGACCTGGGGGGGGCTGTTCTGACCTGGGGGAGGGGTAGCTCTGACCTGGGTCGGGGGACAGTTCTGACATGGTGGGGCAGTTCTGACCTGGGGGGAGAGTTAACTGGGTGGGGGGACAGCTCTGACTTGGGGAGTTCTGACTTGGGTGGGGGGCAGTTCTGACCTAGGGGGGGCAGTTCTGACCTGGGGGGGGGCCTTTCTGACCTCAGGGGGCAGTTCTGACCAGTGGGGGGTACAGTTTTGACCTGGGGAGGAAGCTCTGACCTGGGGAGTTCTAACCTGGGGCGGGGGCAGCTCTGACCTGGGTGGGGGGGCAGTTCTGACCCGAAGAGGCAGTTCTGACCTGGGGGGACAGTTACCTGGGTGGGGGGACAGCTCTGACTTGGGGAATTCTGACTTGGGTGGGGGGCACTTCTGACCTGGAGAGGCAGTTCTCACCTCGGGGGGCCTTTCTGACCTCGGGGGGCAGTTCTGACCTGGGGAGGCAGCTCTGACCTGGGGAGTTCTGACCTGGGTCGGGGGCAGTTCTGACCTGGGGGGGCCGTTCTGTCCTCAGGGGCAGCTTTGACCTGGGGGGGCCATTCTGACCTGGGGGAGCAGCTCTGACCTGAGGGGACAGTTCTGACCCGGGTAGCTCTGTACCCTCTCATCTTTTCTGTCCCCGAAACATTACTCGGGACAACACCTGGAGAGTTTCACCATTGAGAGATACAGTGTTCCTTCTCGATTGTACTGGAAATAAAATCCTTCCTGAAAGAGAAACACTGTCTAAGTGCTGTGTCAGTTTTATTTGTCACACAGCTGAGTTTGCAGCTTAGTGGAGAGGTTTGCAACTCCACCCCAAGCTGGGTGTGGACATTTCCTTTAGTCCAAGGTGGCTTCGCCTTACGGTTTACTACGTCGGGCACTCACAGCTCAGCAGTGCTTCGCTCACTGTGCGGCCTGACAGGGCTCCTCCCAGTTCACCATCTGCTCCCTCCACTCTCAGACTGCACATTCAGCCCATGTCTTATGCTGGCCTGTGGCAGAGCCCTTAGCAGTTATGGTTTATGGGACCGTTGCTTTCCACAGAACACAGCCAGCATCATATCACAGAGTGAGCCCAGAGCGAGGCTGTGCCACAGCTGTGGGGACACATTCTCCTTGGCTGAGTACCAATGACTCAGCCACCGCCTGCCCTTAAAAGGTTGTTTTCAGATGGCATGTACCTGGAGGGGCCGGTCTCCTGTGAGCTCACGGATCCAATTGACTCTGCCAGCTGCACGTCCACAGGCTGCCTGGCAGAGACTTCCCAGTGCCCACGACCCCCGCAGTGCTGGAGAGCAAAGCCAAGCCCCTCCACGTCCAGCAAGAGGCTGAGCAGAATGAGGTGCGTGGAGACGTTCAGAGATAACGAATGCAGCGATCATCACCATGGTTTGCTCCGTGTCAGTCCCTTTGGAGATGACTTAGTTCCTAAGCTCTCAAGAATACATTTGGATGTACGGGGAAAAAATTCCAGTTAAGGCATGATGTCGAGTTCCCACCCAGTTAGGTATATTTTCTCAGAAAGAAAAGTTGGTAGATTATTTCCTTACTATGGAGAATCTTATCTTAAGTTACTTATTTCACACTTAAGGGGCTATCCAGCCACAGGGGTCAGTCTGTAGCTGTCCCCTCCAGGCAAGCCCAGTGCTTTTTGTAAAGAGAGCATTTTGTGAACTCATTATCCCCAGGCAACACCCTGGGCAGGTGAAAACTTCTGGGCATCTCGGAGGGGAAGTTTCTGCTTGTTCAGCATGGCAAAGCCTGTCTGCCCCTTGAGGAGCAGTTATTGGCTGGCGCTGGTGAGGCGAGGCAAAGGCTGCGGAACCATTGAGAGGAAATTCGTCACTGTCCTGTCCAGCCACTCCCCTCGCTCAGTGATGCCGTGTCTAGGAGGCCCCGTCTCAGGCCCCGACTCGAGCCCACAGGCCTCATGCTGTGCTCATCACACCTGCCCTCTATCTCCAAGATGGCAGCGCCCTCCACCCGCCAGGCCTCCCTCTGTCCTCTTGCACTGTCGTTCCCAGGCCAACATCTCACGGCCAGATTCCTTATAAAAAGCAGACGTTTAGCTCCCCTGGCAGACGGTTCTCCCCTCTTTAAAACCATCCCGTATTGAGTGCACACCATGTCATGAAAATTGCCTTTCAATGTACTCTGAGGTACTTCAACAATCACAACTCCCTCAACTCTGCATCCCCTTCTGGTAACTTAGAGTCTATGACTGTCCTCTCCCAGGCACGCCTGCAGAGTCTCTTCTAGGCTTCTGCCCTATTTAGCTTTCCTCAGAGTCTCACTAAAGGACCAGCTCCTGGCATCTGCAGGATTCACCCCATCCTTGTCTAACTCCCCATTTTTCCTCTGGGCCCTGGCCCCGTGCTCCCATCCACGGCGAGCCTCATGGAGCTTGTGTCCCGAGTTCCGCGAGCACACGCGTGTAGCCTTTACCGCCCCACACTGTCGCACACACACCGCACCACGGGGGAGCTACAGGTCCAGTTACAACCTCAGCAGGAGCAGGGCTTCTGGGTTCTTCCTGCACAGAGGCGAGTTACCCACGCAGCAAACCTTTCCTCGGTAATTGACGGTTCGTTTGTTCCCTGTGAGAATTCCAACACGGACCATGGTACAATCCACACGTGTGAAGAGAGATGTCCCTCACAACCACACGTGTGTGAACACATCACACAGCTCTAAAGGCTGCAGGTTTCTACGGAGGTCTAACAGGCACAGTAGATGTGTGTTCTTCTAGGGGAGTTCATCTTTAATCATCAGGGAAGGGTCCTGAATACCACAGACAGAACAGGTGATTCCAGGACATTCGGAGGTGTGATGCCGGGAATCCAAGCCCAGGCGATGTGACTCCTGGGGTTGCTCAGAGGAAGTGAGGTTTGTGGCACTGCACCGTCGGGCTTCGGTGAAAGGTGTTAATGGCCAGGGCGCTTTCATACAATCTGCACGGCCCACTCCTGCTTCCTTGAAGCCTCTGTAGCTGTCACTTTCTTCAAGAGACAATGAGCCCTGCCCAGATGGAAGATCCAGTGTCGACAGCACAGAGCCTGCCCCAGGCCACCCCAGCACCTCCTAACACGCTCCGTCACCACTGTTCACAGAGCTGCCCCTGGCCCACCCCAGCACCTCCTAACACGCTCCGTCACCACTGTTCACAGAGCTGCCCCAATACACCCCAGCACCTCCTAACACGCTCCATCACCATTGTTCACAGAGCTGCCCCTGGTACACCCCAGCACCTCCTAACACGCTCCGTCACCATTGTTCACAGAGCTGCCCGATACACCCCAGCACCTCCTAACATGCTGTCACCACTGTTCACAGAGCTGCCCCGATACACCCCAGCACCTCCTAACACGCTCCGTCACCACTGTTCACAGAGCTGCCCCAATACACCCCAGCACCTCCTAACACGCTCCATCACCATTGTTCACAGAGCTGCCCCTGGTACACCCCAGCACCTCCTGACACGCTCCATCACCACTGTTCACAGAGCTGCCCGATACACCCCAGCACCTCCTAACACGCTCCATCACCATTGTTCACAGAGCTGCCCCGGCCCACCCCAGCACCTCCTAACACACTCCGTCACCACTGTTCACAGAGCTGCCCCTGGTCCACCCCAGCACCTCCTAACATGCTCCATCACCATTGTTCACAGAGCTGCCCCTGATACACGCCAGCACCTCCTAACATGCTGTCACCACTGTTGACTGTGCCTGTAGCTGACCACTGGCTGCATGAGCAGAAGGGCTGGCCCCCACACTGGCTAGTTCAGGAGTGACTCTCGGGACCATGGCTGTGCTGCTGGCCCTCCATCCTCTACCCCTGCTCATTGAAGAGCCACTGAGCCTTAAATGAATTTAAAGGGTTTTCAAGGATCATTTTAAATATTAACAATATCCCATTATTTGCAGACTTTGGTTATGCACAGGTACATATGTGCATGTGTGTACATAGCAACTGTCCCTGTATACACACATGCTCACGTTAGTATACGTATGCATGTGTGTACCTAGTGACTCGCCTGTATACATGCATGCTCGTATTAGTACATACATCACATGGGTACATAGCAACTCGCCTATATACACACATGCTCACGTTAGGACATGCACTGTGTGTACATGACGACTAGCCTGTATACTGTATGCTCATGTTAGGACATATACACGTGTGTACATAGCAACTTACCTGTATACACACATGCTCACGGTAGCAGTTGAGCTACTCGGTCTGTTGTCTCTGTCCTTTCCAGAGTGGTGTTTAGTTACTTTGATTTCTTCCATTACTGTGATTATCTGTGTTATCTGTGATTCAAAGATCTAAATGTGAAAAAGCAAATCTGTAATACAAAGAAATAGAAAATATTTTATTACCTCTGTATTTAGGAAATCAAAGCTAAAAGCTAAAACTCAGACTGGAATAACCCTCACGTCCTTTAGAGCCGTAATTTGAATACATTTGCCCTAACATAAAGTAAAAATCACACAAGACCACACTGTAAGTTTTTCTTCACAAAGACCCCCCAGAAGCGGGAGGGGGATGCAGCAGGCAGGCCTTTGTCCTTGAGGGGGATGAGGCTGGCTCTTCCCTCTTCCATCTAAAGAGGGCCCCGCACCCCCTTCTGCAGCCTCCCCAGCATGACGGTCCCATAGCAGCCATGGAGCCACAAAACTGCAGTGCGGGAGTGTGAAGCCTCGTAGAACCCACCTGAGAGATGGGCCTCTGTGGAGAACTCCTTGGTGGTAGCAAAAAACACAAGAATAACAATTCTAGTTCCCTACAAATCAGCCGGTTCAGAGCTGTCCCTCAAAATCCTGGCCGTCTCAGTGTTAAAGAAGTGCGACCTCTCTCCGCCCTGGGTGGCGCCATCCAGACAAGGTGGGGCAGATAGTGCCCTCTCTCCCCTCTGTCTCCCACTCTCTGTCTCTCCTTCCCTCTTTCTCCAAGCCCAGCGGATCCATTTCTCCTCCCGGCTGTGATCATGACAAGCGTCCCCGTTTCTTCCTTCTACCCCTGAGCCCCCCCTTCTTAAACTTGACCCACGTTGACCTCCACACCATTACGTCTGAATGGGTCGCCTGCAACTCATTAAAATCCACGACTGCAGCACAGATGAAAGATGAAGCGGATTAACCGGGGGCTCCGATGTATCCGTGAGATTGACTCTTCGCTGTAGGCAATGGAATCTTTTCTCTTTTTCTTAACAATCAATCAAGAGTGAATTAAACAGAAGGGTTTCCGAAGACGCTCATTATCTCCATTCCTCGAAACAGCCCCTCCCCATTGCTCCAGCCTCTGCCCCTCACAAGCCGGCTGTGCCATCCCTGCGTGTGGGCCTGCACTGGGCCATTCATTTTTCCTCGCCCCTGGGAAGAGTGGCGACCACCACTTCTTGGCGACGACTATGGGGTCCTCCCCGTGGGCACAATCAGGAGTTGGCAATGCCCCATACCCGAGGCCCTTTCATGTCAAACCCATTCACGTAGGCTGCGACTCACTGCAACCTGATGCCAGCGGCCGGCCGCCAGCTCGGGGTTCTGTCACCAGGGCAGCGCTGGCCAGCAGCGAGGCAGGGGACGCCAAGCTCACAGGGAGAGGGATTTCATTTCTCTTCTGCTCACATTTTTCTCATTAAAAATTTCAAAACCTCCCAAGACTCAGAAGTAATTGCAGCAGATTTCTAGTTCAAGCCCCTTTATTTGCTACAAGAACCAAAGGATGGGGGCGTGAAGCGATCAGCCACGCACAGGCGTCGGACCTACGGGGCGCTGGACACGGAGGTCCTTCCCGCTCAGCACAAGGTTGGTAAGAAACTCAACTTCCCTCTGATAATAATACCTTGCTCAGAATCTTACTTGAATCATAGATGTTTTAGAGCTGAGAGGGAAACATTTTAAATCCCATTCCTTTATTTTTCAAATGAGGAAACTGAGGTCTACATAGTTTAAAAGACCTGCCCAAGGGCCCACTCACCCCTCCAGCCAGGTAGCCTTCTGTGTTGCGGTGTTGAAAAACCCTGGGTCCCATCGAATCGTGGTGGAAGATTCACTGAGAGGCCCGATACTGTGGGCCTCTCTCAGCAGAGCCCAGGCTGATCTCACGACCGATGCATTCCCAAGGAGTTCAGAGAAGGCGGACGGAGTTAAGGGCATGGACTGATGAGGTCTCTGCGGCTGCATCTCGGAGGAACTCTAGAGGCGCCTACATACATTAACATACATTAAGATGTATAACTTTACACTCTATCGATGTAAACATAGAATCCGACACAGCAATACTTCCGTAAAATACAATAAAAATAAAATATGAGAAAAATCAAAGGTAACAAAAATTAAAATACTACAAAATAGAAGCCTATTTTAAATGTACCACATTCAACCGATTGTCAAATTCTGGCAAAATTCCTAAATGTTGCTGAATGTCTCCATCCACCTTAGTTTGCAGGGCACACCTCGCCCAACCACTCGGCTGTCAACCCCACATTAGTGAGGGAAATGGATCGAACATTCGGATGTTTTTTTAAAAGAACATATTTCCATTTCATAACAGTTATTTTATGGAAATTAGAAAGACATAGACAATATTTAGTCACTTTGTTAAACTTAGAAAATAAGTGTAACAAATTACAAACGCCCTGCTCATTACATCTTAAGTGCTTAGAAATGTTTTCTTGTCTCAGATGGGCTTTTAAGAAAGTTAAAACCATTTTGAGGTCTCAACCACTTCAATGTCCCTGTAGATTTTCTCTCTCTTCTTAGTGTGGATATTTTCCTTCTATTGGAGAATTGCCCGCTCAGTACTTCACTTAAAAACTTTAGTACAACATTGCTCTGGTACAACATTCCATAATCAAATGGAAATAACCAAGTATGATGACGGTGTGGAACGTGCCCCATGAGCTGAAAGTAAACATGACAGCCGTGCATTGTAAGTCCACAGAGACGTGGGGAGGACAGCCATGTGGAAATGCATCCACGCCTGTTCTTACAAGAAAAAGTAATCGGCTGCTCGCTTAAGCACCTGCAACTCAGGTGCTCTGTCCCTGCAAAGGGAAGCGGAAAGCTGTGCTGGGCGGAGCTGCTCTGACCACAGCGGGAACACAGCCTGGTCAGCACGGAGCAACTGGCTGGGTGTTCTCCTGGGGGCCTCCGGTCGGATCTCAAGAAAGCCGGGTTCTGGTTGTTGCTTCCCCACCGGCTGGCTGCATGGCCGTGGGAGGGGCTGTGTATCCTCTGGGACTCCATAAGAAAACTGGGTTGGCTGCTCCACAGAAGCGGTCTCTCTCTCTCTCTCTCTCCCCCTCCGCTTTCCTGAGCAGGTGTGCGGCTTCCAGGGTCTATTTGCTCAATGCTCATTGGGTTTCACTTTCCAGGTTTGGGAAGACAATTTCGATAACAAAGCATCTAATCTTTCGAATTGCCCCTACCTGGAGTTTTAAAAGGCGTTAAGACATGAGGAAGCTGACTCTCATCACTGCTTCTGGCTAGCACAGTGCAGGTGAGGAACAGCCCACTGAAGTGTATGGAATGTAAAAGTTCATGCGTCATTTTTTAAATCCAGGTCTCACTACTTTATAACACTATACAATTGGTTCCACATGCAAGATTTTCTGTAAGGCAGCAAATATCCCATTTGCACCCAGTGAGTTGGAGCCCAGGCTTGGCTCCCTCATCCTCTTGCTCCACTTCCAGGAGGAGCGGTTGGCGCGGGTGGCTGGCCGGCATCTGCGTGGGGCAGGCAGGTGGTGACCGTACACCGTGTTTGCTTGACTGGATGCAGCAGGCTGATGGTGGGGTCAGAAGCTGTGAGAATGAAGGTCTGCATCCAAAGTGGCCGGGCCCCTGGGGAGATGAGGCCACCCACAAACGGTGGGCACTTGTCAGGAGCAGCAGGTGTTTCATGGACAAGGCAGCTCTGCCTGGGGCTTGCAGGATGAGTCCTCAGCCCGGAATTGGTAGAATCACAGCTTAGTGCACCCGGCCACACGCCGACCTCCAGCAGCCCTTAACAAAGGGGCTCAGATGAAGGAATGTTCCGGAAATCAGAAAAGCTGAGCATGAGGACAAACAGCACGGACACAGCCTGGGAGAAGATTGTCCCGGTGATGTTGCTGCTCTCTGCAAGGGGGCTAAGGGTGCGGCCGTCTGTCTCGGTCCCAGTAGCCCAGGCAGAGAGCAGTGCCATTCCACCTGTTCATAAACCAGAAGGCCTCTGAGACAAGTCTCAATGGATTCAGATGTTTATTTTGCCAAGATAGAGGACATGCCCATGACAGCCTCAGGGGTACCTGACAACAAGCGTCCCAGGTGGTCAGGGTACAGCTTGCTTTTTTGTAGATTTTGGGGAGACATAAGTCATCCATCAAGACATGTAAGGTGCATAGGGGTTTGGTCCAGGAAGGCAGGACAACTGGAAGTGGTGGTGGGGGCTTCCAGGTCATAGGTGTATTCAAAGATTTTCTGATTGGCAGTCGGTTGAAAGAGTTAAGTTTTTACCTAAAGGCCTGGAATCCATAGAAAGCAGAGCCTGGTTAAGGTAAGGGCTGTGGAGACCAAGTTCTTATAATGCAGACGCAGCCTCCAGGGCGCAGACTCAGAAAGAACCCACAGCAAGTGTCTCTTATCAGACTTATAAGGTGCCAGACTTTTAGTTAATTCTCTCTTAGATCAGGGAAAAGGCCTGGAAAGGGAGAGGGATTCTCTACAGAATGTAGATTTTCCTACAACAGACAGCTTTGCAGGGACATTCCAAAATATGTCAACAAAATATATTTTAGGGTAAAATACTTCCATTTGCTTTAGGGCCTGCTGTCATGGGATGCTATACTAGACTCAGGACGGAATTCAGTCATTCCTACAAAAAGTCTTAAGATCTCTGTTTTAATGTGAATGCTGGTCAGTTGTGTCTGAACTCCAAAGGGAGGAGGGTATAAGGAGGCCCGTCTGACACCTCCCACTTCCCATCGTGGCCTAAGCTAGATTTTCAGGTTAACTTCAGAATGCCTTTCACTGAGACAAGGAGCCCATTCAGACTGTTGGGGGCTTAGGACGTGACTTTCAGCTTACCTGCTGGAGCAGCCTTGTCTTTATAAGACACACAGAAGCGCCTGTGACCTATGTTTCCACACAGTTTCTAGGGAGACTTGGATGATCCCAGTAATTCAGGGCATCTCATGATGCCAAGAGTCCCAAGCACTGAGTTACAGGGCAGGAGCTGTTCTATCGCACCCACAGTGCAAACAGTCCCTCTGTTAGGAAAACAGAGACTCTGGGGCTTCTATTCTCATCGATGACAGCATTTTCCTTTCTTTTTTTAAAAAATTTCTTCTAAAAAAAAAAAAAACAGGATACATGTGCAGAACGTGCAGGTTTCTTACATAGGTACATGTATGCCATGGTGGTTTGCTGCACCTACTGACCCGTCCGTTCCCTCTCCTCACCCCACCTTCCAACAGGCCCTGGTGTGTGATGTTCCCCTCCCTGTGTCCATGTGTTCTCAATGTTCAGCTCCCACTCATGAGTGAGAACATGCGGTGTTTGGTTTTCTGTTCCTGTGTTAGTTTGCTGAGGATGATGACTTCCAGCTCCATCCATGTCCCTGTAAAGGACGTGAACTTACCCTTTTTATGGCTGCATAGTATCCCATGGTGTATATGTACCACATTTTCTTTATCTAGTCTATCATTGATGGGCCTTTGGGTAGGTTCTATGTCTTTGCTATTGTAAACAGTGCTGCAATAAGCATACGTGTGCATGTGTCTTTATAGGAGAATGCTTTAGATTCCTTTGGGTATATGCCCAGTAATGGAATTGCCGGGTCAAATGGTATTTCTGGTTCTGTATCCTTGAGGCATCGTCATACTATATGACAGCACTTTCATGGATGTAAATAAGGAGGCACTGCCTCCAGCATTATATTTACACCCATATGTGTATATTTGCCCAAATTTACATAGACATACATTGATATAGGCATTTATTTACATGTATACTTTTGTACATACATAATTACGTAAATAGCTCACTTCCTTACGGCTTTGTCTACTTAGAAGTGTTCGTGTTTTCTTCATCTCGTGAATGTTTGCCATTGTACAGATCTACCCATCCAGTCTGGGATACTCAGTGGCTTCCTGATAAACTGATGTAAAAGATTTGAGAGAAGAACTGGAGACGTATATTGCTCTTTAAAAAGCAGGATATGGGCCTGGCGTGGTGGCTCACGCCTGTCATCCCAGCACTTTGGGAGGCTGAGGTGGGTGGATCACGTGAGGCCGGGAGTTCGAAACCAGCCTGGCCAACATGGTGAAACCCCGTTTCTACTAAAAAATACAAAAATTAGCAGGGCATGGTGGTGGGTGCCTTAATCCCAGCTACTCGGGAGGCGGAGGCAGGAGAATCACTTGAACCCGGGAGGCAGAGGTTGCGGTGAGCCGAGAGAGATCGCACTATTGCACTCCAGCCTGAGGACAAGAATGAGACTCCGTCTCAAAAAAAAAAAAAAAAAAAAAAAGTGGCCTATGGCAATGGATTTCGTTTGCTTGTTTTAAGGCTGCACATTTGCCAAGTGCTCTGCCCGGCATGTCTGTGATGTGAGGAGACTCTAAGCGTAAATGAGAAAGGCTGAGAAACGATGCTTTTTTTTCTTTTTTTTCACTTTCCTTTAATTCTTGAAAAGACTACCCAGAAACATACAAGTGGGTATTTGAGATAACTGGACCAAGTTTTGACCCACCGCTAGTTCAGGCAGTTACAGCTTTCCAGCAACGGCTCCTAAATATCATCATCAATTCACAAAAGTTCCCTCCCTCTCAGTGTTCCCTTGTTCATCATTCTTAATTTCTGAAACATGCACAGGAACTTTGCTCAGAGGCAGGAGTTAAGGACGTCAGGAAGAAGCATGGTGAGGAAGTCGGGAACATAGCATCTAAACCTCCAGAGCTGGCTTTTCACCTCTGTCCGGCCACCTTCTTGGCATCGTGGATCTCTTGGGGGATGAACGAGCGGAGGCCTGCCAAAGGACCCAGCCCGGCTCATGGCCCAGAGCTGGGGCCGCAGCAGCCAAAGGCCTGCAGAGGAGGGCAAGGCAGCCTGCTGGAGGGAGCATGCTGCTGTCCACACCCCAGGCTGGAGGTCAGTCCAGGGCACACACGGAGGCCCGGAAGGACGGTCAACCCAGCTCTGAGTACAGATAGTGATGAGCCTGGCCAGCGTGAGCCTGGGATGCAGGCTCCAAGCAGCCCTCAGCCTGGTCGTGTGGTCACAGCATAGCCACACCCCACACTCACAGTGGCCACTGCAGGGCCTGCCACTCAGCTTCTGACCCATGGTCCTTCGGGCCGGCCGCCTCCGTCCCCATGCTACCCCTGCAGCCGAGACCACCTGTCCACCCCCATCGTGCTGGAGCTAATGGAGGATGAAAGCTGATGAGCCGGTTTCTTTTCTACACCTGATATCCAGTCCTCACCTCTCCTGCTCCTGCTGTCTCTGAGCTGGCAGACTGCCCCACCCAGAGCTTGTCCTAGGAACCCCAGAGCCGTGCAGCCTTGAGCCTTTCCCCAGCCGGGGGCAGGGGTGAAGGATCATGAGGCCGTGGATACCTTGTCAGGTCCTGTGGTGTCTGAGGGCAGGCCCCTGATGGGACTTGAAAGGGGACAGACAGAGCCCCTGGGGAGCCCTGGCATCTGGAACGGAAAATGCAGCTTATCGTGTATCTTTGAATATAACCAGCCTGATGTTTGGGGAGAGATCAGGTGCTGAAACAGGGGCTGGAAAACTGAGAGGTGCTGATGATTCTCGTGATCCTGAGCAGCCTCGAACGCTGGCCTCCAGGTACTCACATGATAGAGGATGCCTCCCAGGACACAGGGGAACCTTCATTTCCCTTTCTCCCTTTACAGTGGAACCCTGGGTGGCTCATTGAGTTCCCTGAGGCTCAGTTTCCCATCTGAAAATGGCATTGATGTCACCCCTGGCTGTGAGAGGTTGTGAAGATTAAGTGAGAAGCTGCATGAGAGCACTCGTGTGCCTCTGACAGTCGGTAGGTACTCAGCCAAGGGGTCTGCACCAGGCTCAGTGTTCAGCCAAGGGGCCTGCACCAAGCTAAGTGCTCAGCTGAGAGCCCTGCACCAAGCTCATTGCTCACCCAATGGGCCTGCCCCAAGCTAAGTACTCAGCCAAGGGGCCTGCACCAAGCTAAGTGCTCAGCTGAGAGGCCTGCAACAAGCTCAGTGCTCAGCCGAGGGGTCTGCACCCAGCTCAGTGCTCACCCAACGGGCCTGCACCAAGCTAAGTACCCAGCCGAGGGCCTGCACCAAGCTCAGTGCTCACCCAATGGGCCTGCACCAAGCTCAGTGCTCAGCTGAGGGGCCTGCACCAAGCTAGGTACTCAGCCGAGGGGCCTGCACTAAGCTCAGTGCTCACCCAATGGGCCTGCACAAAGCTAAGTACTCAGCCGAGGGGCCTGCACCAAGCTAAGTGCTCAGTCGAGGGGCCTGCACCAGCCTCTTGTGAACTTGCTTGGCCTGCACCCTACATAAACCATGTGGTGTAAATCCCCTTTCCCTTAGGCCTGTGCTGTCACCATACAAAGACCCGCTGTGATGCCAGGTCTGATTGTAAGCTTGCGGTGTGCACAGTACTTAGTACACGATTTGTGTTGGTTACTTGCACAGGTAACCAGGGGCTTGGCCAGGTACCCAGCTATGGGTCAAAGCCCAGTCTAGACGTTGGCATGAAGGTATCTTTTAGATGAGATTAGCATTTAAATCAATAAACTTTGAGCAAAGCAGGGGACCTCCGTAACGTGGGTGGGCCTCATCCATGTGGTTGGAGACTTAAGATAAAAAAGTTGGTGATTCCTTGAGGAAGGACTTCTGCCTCCAGACTCCCCGCGGGTACAAGCTGCAACATCAGCTCTCCCCAGGCTCCAGTCTGCAGCCTATTCTGCAGATTTTGGACTTAACTCCAGCAATCTCATGAGCCAATTCCTGACAGCAGATCCCCTCTCTCTCCCTCTCTCCTTCCTGTTGGTTCTGTTTCTCCAGAGAACCCTGACTAATATATCCTATTAGTTAATTTTGACTCTATTACAGTCTCCTATTTTCTGCTTATCATGCCATGCATGACCATTCTATCGTTCATTCGGTGAGTATTTATTAAGAACCTATTGTTGCTTGGTGCCTCCCTGACAGGTAACTAGACCACTTACTATGCTATTGGAAGATTAGCTGTTTGGTACACAGACTGCCTGATACAGAAGCAGCAGTCAATGGTGATGATGATGACATTACAAAAGTTATAATTAGCATGTAAAACATGAAGCATGACACCTGACCCGTCACAGCACAACTCAGTGTTTCTTGATGGAGGGAAAAAATAGTAACTAGTGTGTAGCTTCATTGGGATCTTGATTCTTTATCTGAAGCATGGTCAACATGCTTTAATGTTATCAGTTTGCCCGCTGTGGTAACAAGCTTCTGGAAACAAATCATAGATTTGCAACTTACTTTTCTCAGATACATTTTTCCATCATTATCAACATGGTACTCCCCTTGGAAAGGAATCTAATGTAAAATGTAATGTCAATGTAAAATGTAAAAACGCTGAATAAGTTGGGTCCCCTCTCAATGATTAGCTGTTCTGTGAATATTGGTGAGAAGACACTGCTGTGATGTTGAGCTCAGAAACCACGTCTGCATGTTGATGTTCTGAGTGCCTGGTCATTCCAGGCGCTAAATCAGTGCTTCTTCAGTGAAGGAATAAGTGAATGGATGGTTTTAGATCCACAGATTGGCTTTAAAGAGCTGGCAATGCATATGCAACTTATTTTTAGGTAGGACTTTCCAAAATTTAAAAATCACACGCACACACATACACACACACACACACACTCTCTCTCTGTGTGTCTCTCTGTCTCTCTCTCTCTCCCTGTCTTTCTCTGTCTCTTTCTTTTTCTCTCTCTCTCTCTCCCTCTCTCTCTCTCTCCGTCTCTTTCTCTCTCCTTCTCTCTCTCTCCCTCTCTCTCCGTCTCTTTCTGTCTCTCTCTCTTTCTCTCTCTCCCTCTCTCTGTCTCTTTCTCCATCTCTCTCTGTCTCTTTCTCTCTCTCTCCTTCCCTCCCTCTCTCTCTCTCTCTCTCTCTCTCTCTCCATAGATAGCAGCCAGCACAAGGTCAGTTGCTGAGCTTTTCTAACTGGATGACGTCCCTGACAAATGAATAACACCCAGTGGGCTGGCATCCTGAGGAATGGGGTTGTGTACATTGTCCCTTTAATACACAAATTCTGAGAGAAGAGAAATAGGCTTTATTCTCTTCTGCCCATTACCCATCACACTATTCAAACTTCCAGTGGATAAAACAATGGGAAGTATCTCTGCCAAGCCATTCTTTAACTCTAAAATCCCTCACTGCTGGTCCCAAGATCTTGAAATAATACTCCCAAAAGTGTTTCCATTCTAGAATCATAGGAACTGGAAAAATTAACATCCTTTTTCACTAAGTGAAATTTGAGTGTAATGCAATTTGTGATCACCGAGGAACAAAGTGATACACGGGAATTAATCATCACTTATGTGAAGAAGTTTGGGTGGAAATGTTTACAATGATCGTTGGTGTACTGAAATTCAAAAAATGAAAGAAAGCTGTTTGGGCTGACAGCTGGTTCAAGTTAAATTAAATTTGACTCAGAATATTAATTTTAAATACCATATAAATGAATGCAGGTTACACACCCTGCATTATTTCATAAAGTATTATGAGACTTAAAGTTTTAAGATGTGATTTTGCCCCTGCCTCGGGGTGGAGGCGCTTAGGAGCCTACTCAGCCACTTACAAGGGGCCTTAGCAAATGTGCAGTCTCATGGTTTAGGAAAAACCTCTTAAAGTTTTGCAAATGTCACTCATGGTGCAAATTATCTAATATAGTCTAAGGGAAGGGGAGGTATTGAGCAATTCTGATTACAAATACAAAGATTGCACATGTACAAGTTATGTACAAGTTCAACACCTAAACAGCCCACTGGGGTTCACCAACCACAGCGCCCAGGGAGGCACAGGACCTGGAGTGGGGACTGGGAATTGTGGTCTCTGAAACACACACAGGCATTACACACTCCGCCATACGTGCAGGCCTGGGGTTCAGCTCACAGGCTTGATGGAGTGGGTGTTTTTAAACCCCTTAGCAATTCCAAAGTAAGTGTTATTTTACTTTATAGAATCCTGGGTTCTGGAACAATTCATTTTCCCTAATGATGAATGGACTGATTCATTTCTGCATTTGTTAATATCTAAAGTGATTTCTTTTTCTAGATAACGTTCCCTAAAACCTCCCAAAGATCACGTGACTAAGGCCAAGTAAAACTACAGCGAAGAGGTGGAGAGACATCTGAATTAAGATCCCTTCAGAGAATCAATGCAAATTAAAAGTTAGCAAATCACCCAAAGAGAGAGCGGCCTGTGGGGAAATCTAACAGTGTTCTTTACATTTCAGATCCCATTTTTGATCCAAGCTAAAATACAAGTCACCCCAAATTAATTGCAGCAAACATATTGTGGTGGCAAATTAAGTCTTCTTAGTCATTTATATCTTGGAGATATTCTGCACACGGGCCGACACACGAAGAAGCGTTTCGTGTCCCTCCTGGCCTTGGTGATTTCTTTTCAGAAAAGCACCGGGGGGCCAATCAACTGTCAAATTACGTTTCCCTGTGCTGGGCTTATCCAAGAGCAATCTCCTGTTGACTTTATTGCACATTTTATAATTGTATAATTTCACAAGTCTTCCATGGATATCGTCATTACAATAATTTAGGGCTATGGAAACTCAGGGATCACAGGCAGTTCCTCCCATGGGTCACCACGGTTACTTAAGACCATGACCGACCTGCCAGCCCTGGTCATTCAGACTTGGGAACTAGAACTGGCAGACATTTCTCAAAAATGAGGGAGTCTGTCATTTCAAGGATGACGGCTGACAGTTTTTGTTGCCTATGATAAAAATTCAAGCATCACTATGAAAGTGACAATCCCAAAGACCTTGTGTCTCCCTCTGTGAGCCTGTCACTGGCTTAAAGGGTGTTTTGAGGACATCTGTGGGGAGGTCAACAGAAATGCTTTTTATATTGTGTAGTGAGAAGTGTCAACATTTGGAAGATCTGCAGAACTCAGTGAGCTGATTGTTTCCACTGCGGGATGGTATAAAGTGACGAGCAAGCGAAGACCATCTGCGGTGCCACGGGCCCATGGATGCCGACACAGGGGCAGGTGCATGCCCAGGCAATAGGGCTCAGATCCCACACAACAGCGCACCTTTAAGAAGCTACCACCTTTGGGGCTTGGGGGTGGTATCAAAGAATCACCACAATTACCTAGGAAAGGTTATTAAAATAATCTCCTCTTTCCTAATACATTTGGGAGTGACACTGAGTATTCACTGCACACTTCAAACCCACACAGATGGAGTGCGGGAGTGGCCTCAGACTCTGGCTGCCTTCCGGGAAGTCAGACACTGGATTTGCAATAGAAAGTATAGCACTCTTGTCAGTCAAGATGGTTTGGTTCAAAAATTACATTTATTTTTCATTACACGTTATTTATGTTGGCATGTAATGGATTTACTATTGTGCTTTTAATTAAAGAATAAAAACATTTTAAGTTTTTTTAGTTTAATTTCTAGTAGGATAAATAACAATAGACAGAACCCACTTCATCAATCCGTCTAATTTTCCTGCCAGAGTAATAATGTATTCCTAACTTTGTTCATTTCTTGCTTTTAAAATGTAGACCTTGAAAAGACTAAATACATAGAAATGTAGACGTTGCCTGGAGTTTTTATTTTCAATATCAGGTTACATTTCATTTTGTATTTAAGTATACAAAATGAATATCAAATAATGCATTTTCAAGCAAATGTATAGATGAGTGAATTTTGTCTGGGGCCAGAGGGCTATGACGCAGAGCTCTGTAACTGACCACCTGCAGTGACCTCGCCTGCTCCTGGGCGGGCTTCAGTCTTGTGTGACCCTCACGCCCACGGTGAAAATCCCCGAAATGGGGTTCTATTTGCTGGAAGATTTCTTCTTTAATTGCATTATGTTATTTTTACATCTAGCTGCTCTTACCCTGAGAAATTGTTCATATTCTGTGTTCCATTTCAGTTTTTCATAAAGTAACCTAAAAAACTGACCACTTGGAAAATGAAACACATAGTTGTAAGATTAATAGATCCTTCTGCCCTCGAGTCCCCTCCCGAGGACCCAGTCAATCCTGAGCCCTGAATCACAAACAAACAAAAAGGGCGGTGTATCTTGTGCATTTTCTGTCTCCTTTTTCTCGCTTGTTTTCAATTTTTCTTTGGATTTGTTAGTGTATCAGAGGTTTATAAAAGCATGGGTGTGGACTCTGAAGGAATTTCACTTATCTTTCAAAAGATGTGAAAACAAATTCTATTTTCCTGGTACAGATTTGCTTCGAAGTACCTCTTTAACCTACCTTTCTTCACAGACAGCGCAAGGGAACATTAATGAATAAAACTTGCCTTTATATTTTTAACAATCTTTTCTAGGCAACATATTTTTGGAATTTATCAGTCCCCGTACGCCTAGAATACCTGACCCCTTTCTTCGGATGTGGTTGCGGCGGGACAAGAACCAAGGTGGTCTTTGCTGTGGACTGAGCTCAAAGCACACGTCGCTGTCATGGCGGGGAACGGGCTGGAAGACGCTCCGGAAATGACCGGGGCGAATGGGATTCAGCATCCGGGCTGCCGCTGCCTCTCAGGGGCTCCCTGCAAACGTGGCCGGCGGAGGGAAGGAGTGTCCTGGTGGAGCTCTGGTCGCAGGGAGCATTCCTCAAATGAACGCGGTTCCAATCAACCGGGTCCGGCCAAAAGGCAGATTCCAGCTCAGTAGCTCAGAGGCCTGATTCTGCATCTCAGCCGGCGTCAGGCCACCCCCGTGCTGTCGGGTCCACTCGGAGCGGGCAGGTCCTGGGCACACTGGAGAGTGCAGAAGCTGGTGGCTTTGTTCCATTTCTGTATACAATCCTGTCTCCCCTCTCCCTGCTGCTGGCTCCCCCTTCCTCTTTCTCCCTCTCCTCCATCCTGCCTCCTCCTCTCTGCCCCCGCCCCACCTATTCCCCCATCCTCACCAGACACTCACCCAGTGCGGCCCACCTGACCCTGCCCCAACCATCCTCTTACTCAGAAATCCGTTTGCTTGTGATGTAATAATATTTTGGAACATCTCATATCCCTTCTCCTCACAGACTTCTCACTCTATCACCAATGTTAAAAGACAAACTTCAGACAAACTGAATGTCACAGAGCTTCATTGAGCAAATGACTGTTGGTGAATGGGGCAGCCCTGGACCCAGCATAGGCTCAGGGCGGCTCCGTCGCTGTCGCGTGGTCCGGTTAGATTTGTGGACAGAGAAAGGACAGTGATGCCAAGAAAACTGGACGGAGGCACAGAAACAGCCAGACGGGCACCGCTTGGCGTGGGCCTCATTTAAACACAGTTTGAACCGGGCCACGGTGCATGGTGACGCCTGGCTGCTGTGATCCGCTGAGATGCGGCTGCTTGGGGCAAGGGTGGGTTAGGTCTGTTGGCACGCCCAGTTAGGTGACAGTCACTAAGTGTGGAGAGGTCTTCAGGCTGACCCTAAAATATGTAAGGAGGCAGCTTTAGGCTAAACTTGACGTCACACAGAATACCACCATCTAGGCTGTCAACCCAGTGGAACGTGAGGACAATTTTCTTCTTCAATGTTTTGATTAATTGGATTAATAGGGGTGGAATAATCAGATAATTTTTCACCAAAATTCATGTTTTCCTTCAGAAATTTTCCAGTTAGGTTGCCTAAAGCAAAAAATTCACAAGAGAAGTGTCAAATATCTGCTTGACTTAAAACTTTTGTATACACAGCTTCTATTTTTTAATATATTATATTTAAGATATTTAGGTAACATCTCTTTTCCTTCTCATTTGTAAGACAAGGCGCTTATCTTCAACCAAAATTTCCAGGTAATTATTTAGTTCTTAGAAACCCAGATATGGAAAACCTTCTCTTCCTTAGAGTTGTAGGAAGGCAACTTTTAACAGATTCTTGGGTACATTATTCAAAATTCTGGCAAAATTCTCGAGTTCATGTATGGCAATTATAGAAAATATCTTCTCACATGTTGGATATTATCATCAAAGATCTCGGTCAAATTTTGTTTTTATCTATGTAATCAGAAATGAAAAAGAGAAGTCTATAATTCCTTGTCAATCATAAAGCATTGTGGGTAAAATATGTTTCTTTTGGGGCCTGACCCATGTGCTGTTGAGCTACACTGAAAAAAAGTGAATGTATCTTGTAGTCTACATTTTACTCTCAGAAATTTCCTGTCATGAAATTAGCAGTTTTTTTTTTAAATCCCCATGGCAGAAAAAAAAAAAAAAGCATTTTTCCTAAGTAAAGATCTAATTTAGAAGAGCAATGGGAAAGTCACCTTGTTTTCACCTTTCTTTATTAGGAATTTTGTTGGCTATTTCCCTTCCTACCCCATTTTTACACAGGACAGAAATATCGGATCCTGATAGTATTTTCAAAAATCATTTTGTCAGTCTCTAAGGATGGAAAGTTAAACAGCACCATTGATTTTCGAGGCAGGTCTTCAGGACCCCAGGGCTCTTTTACATGTTTTGCTTTATTCTTTAGTAGCCTGGTGATTAGGCATTGGCACATGTGACCTGCTTAGTAAAAATGTAATGCTGTGGTAAACAAAAAAAATCACAATCATTATAAACTCAGAATGGATATCTGTGGTCACTGTGGAGAAGAGACAAGCCCTGCCTTGTCAGTGTTGATCCAGGCTGGATTCAAAGCACAAGCTCTTCCAAAAGAGTTTCTTCCCTGTTGTTTGCTCACTCATAGAATTACCCACCCACAAATTTGCCCAGAGTATTGACAACCAAGTGTATCCCATGAGTGCCAAAGTAGTCAAATAAATTATAGTTTCTTTAATGAACTCGTTTTCCTAAACGAATGCCAGATGTTCTACAGGTGGCCTGAAAAGATGCCAGAATTCCCCGATTTCCATGAATAATAGGAAACCTGTCAAGAAGAGTAAGCAAAGATACATCATTCTCAAAGTCTGCCTGCATTCCTGATTTTTTAACTCTTTGTCAGCCACACAAGAAACAATTATTTTTTATATCAAAATAAATGTTTGTATTGACTGAAAATTCCTGATTTATGTGTCCATGCTGTGTAATAAATGAGACTTTCACCTTGGCATTCCAAGTGCACTGAAACCCTTCCGCATCGTGCACCAATGTGCAGAAGATGCATGGTGGGGCAGGAACTTCACGGGCCCTCTGGAGCAGCTACCAGTGCAGGACAAGAGCCACAGGGCCACGAGATTGCTCAGCCTTCCTTCATTCTGCAGTCTCTGCTTAAAGGAGGCCTTACTGCACTCCTGTTAGGACAGGAACTCCACCACTAACATAACGCTGTCCTCGCACCTCAAAGCCCTGAAAACCCCAGGTCTACTTGTCTCACGTTAACACATCTGCATTTTATGTCTGATGTTTGCCTGAGTAGCTTTTTTCTTTTATTTTACGTTTCACCTATATTTATAGTTTGTTTCTTGTAGGCAGCATATATTTCAGTCCTGTTATTTTATCCAGTCTGACAATCTTTTTTTTTAAATGGATTGTTTAAAACAATAACATTTTTAAAATCTTTTAAATACATATTCAGCATGCAGGATTCTGAGGGAATACAAAAAATAAATGAAGGCCGGGCGTGGTGGCGCATGCCTGTAATCCCAGCACTTCGGGAGGCCAAGGCAGGAGGATCACCTGAGGTCAGGAGTTCAAGACCAGCCTGACCAGCCTGGCCAATGTGTTAAAACCCCATCTCTACTAAAAATACAAAAATTAGCCAGGCATGGTGGCACATGCCTGTAATCCCAGCTACTCGGGAGGCTGTGACAGGAGAATAGCGTGAACCTGGGAGGCAGAAGTTGCAGTGAGCCTAGATTGTGCCACTGCACTCCAGCCTGGGTGACAGAGTGAGACTCTGTCTCAAAAAATAAAAATAAAAAAAAATATGGATGTAATGGAATTTTTAAGCTCACAGAGCAAGTCTTTAGGGATCTTATCACATTTTATTTTTAGTTTTTATTATGTATGTATATTTAGCTGTAACATAAAATAAGCTATATATGTTGGAAGCATATAATTTGATAAGTTTTATTTCATTTTTTGCATCTTTACTGTGGTATAATATTTAATAAGTTGCACATTTTTTTGTGTGCAATTTGAAAGGCTTGCGGTAGGTATATATCTGTGCCCCTTTGTGATCTCTCATTTTTACCTTGTCCTCCCTCTATCCCCAGGCAACCACTGACACAGAAGATGAGCTTGCATTTTCCTGACGTCTAGACTGATGGGCCATAGAGTATGTGGTCCTTTGAGACCATTCGTATTTAACATGATGATCAACATGGTTGAGGCTAAAGCCACACGTTTGCTCTTAGGTTTCTATTTTGCCCATCTGGTTTTTGTTTGAAACAAATTTTTATGTCATCTTCATTTTTTTCACAGCTTTATTGTGGTACAATTTATATGTCATAATATTCACCCATTGTAAATGCATAATTGAATGATTTTCATTGAATTTATGGAGTTATGATGTAACACCATAATTCAGTTTTAAACATTCCCATGACCCCCAAAATTTCCGTCATGCCTCGAGTTCACCTCCAGTCTCTTAGCCCCCCCGAATACTGATTTCTTTCTCCACAGATTTTTCTAGAAATTGCATGAACGTAAAACACTCAATACACATGCCTCTGTGTCTGCCCTCTCTATTCTACACGATGTGTTTATGACTCATTCAGGGTTTTGAATGCATGGGTAGCTGCTTTTTCCTAATTGGTAAATAATACCCAACAGTATGAAAGTGTCACCACAATGTGCTTATTCACGTGTCTCCTTATGGACACTTAGGTCGTTTCTAATTTGGAGCTATTATGAGTAATGGTGCTATGAACATTCAGATTCAAGTCTTTGTGTGGACATGTGCTTTCCTTTATCTTGGGTGTATTTATAGGACCGAACTGCTGATTTACACAGTAAGTAGATGCATATTTTTTAATAAACTGCCAATCTCTTTCCAGTGAATGTTTTCCAATGCTTGTACCATTGAACATTCCCACCAGCACTGTAGGAAAGCACCGGTCTCTTCTTCAACGCCTGGTAACCTCAGACTTTGGGACGACAGCCATTCTGTTAGGAAGGCATCGGTCTCTTCTTCAATGCCTGGTAAACTCAGACTTTGAGACGACAGCCATTCTGTTAGGAAGGCATCGGTCTCTTCCTCAACGCCTGGTAACCTCAGACTTTGGGACGACAGCCATTCTGTTAGGAAGGCATCGGTCTCTTCTTCAATGCCTGGTAACCTCAGACTTTGAGACGACAGCCATTCTGTTAGGAAGGCATCGGTCTCTTCCTCAACGCCTGGTAACCTCAGACTTTGGGACGACAGCCATTCTGTTAGGAAGGCATCGGTCTCTTCCTCAACGCCTGGTAACCTCAGACTTTGGGACGACAGCCATTCTGTTAGGAAGGCATCGGTCTCTTCCTCAACGCCTGGTAAACTCAGACTTTGGGACGACAGCCATTCTGTTAGGAAGGCATCGGTCTCTTCCTCAACGCCTGGTAACCTCAGACTTTGGGACGACAGCCATTCTGTTAGGAAGGCATCGGTCTCTTCTTCAACGCCTGGTAACCTCAGACTTTGAGACGACAGCCATTCTGTTAGGAAGGCATCAGTCTCTTCCTCAACGCCTGGTAACCTCAGACTTTGGGACGACAGCCATTCTGTTGGGTGTGTTGTGGCCTGCCTGCCATTTCCCTGTCTTCTGACTTCCATAGTATCTGTCATGAAGCCCACAGTCGTCATTCTCACCTTTGCACCTCAGCATGGAATGGGTCTTTTCTCTCCAGCTACTTTTAAAATGTTTTCTTTACCACCCGTTTTCAGCAATTTGATTGTGGTAGGCCTTGTAAGTATTTATTGTGTGTCTGTGTGTATGTGTATGCTTTTTTACTTGAGATTACTTGAGCTTCCTAGATCTATTCACTTAGAGTTTTCATCAAATTTAGAAATGTTTTGGCCCCTATTTGTTCAAATGTTGTTCTCTCATTTCCTTTACTCCTTCTGGGATCCCAGGTATAATTATGTGACACCTTGGTGTTGTTCCACAGGTTACTGAGACTTCGTCTCAAAAATAAAAAAAGAGTTTCACTCTCGTCACACAGGCTGGAGTGCAATGGTGCAATCTTGGCTCACTGCAACCTCCGCCTCCCGAGTTCAAGCTATTCTCCTGCCTCAGCCACCTGAGTAGCTGGGACTACAGGTATGCAGCCACCATGCCTGGCTAATTTTTGTATTTTTTAGTACAAATGGGGTTTCACCATGTTGGCCAGGCTGGTCTTGAACTCCTAACCTCAAGTGGTACTCCTGCCTCGGCCTCCCAAAGTACTGGGATTACAGGTGTGAGCCACTGCACCTGGCATGAGATTGTATCTTTTTCCTTAGTCTTTTCATTTTCTGTGCATTGTTTCCAATTTACTTGATTGCTATTTTATTAAATCCACTCATCTGCTTTAGGAAAACATATGGTCAAACTCAATCATCTAGATTTTGAGAATAAATTTTTGGATTTTGAAGCTACAGCCTTCTCAGTCAAAAAGTTCTTAACTAGGAAAGGTTTAAGCAAAGCAAGGCTATGGGCTGCTGCCTGTGGATTTTTTTTATTTTTGTATGTTTTTAAATAAAGTTTTAGCTGGGCACAGTAGCTCACACTTGTAATCCCAAATACTTTGAGAGGCTGAGGTGGAAGGATTGCTTAAGCCCATGAATTTGAGACTAGCCTGGCCAACATAGTGAGATAATGAGAAAACTTCTCTACAAAAAATAAAAAATATTAGCCAGGTATGGTGACACATGCCTGTAGTCCCAGCTGAGGTGGGAGGATTGCTTGAGACCAGGAGCTTGAAGCTACTGTGAGCCATGATCAGGCCACTGCACTCCAACCTGGGAGACAGAGTGAGACCTTGTCTCAAAAAAATAAAAATAAAGTTTGATTGGAGCATAGCTATGCTTATTTATTTACGAATTCTATGATTTGTTGTGATTTACGTTGACAAAATTCAGTAGGTAAACCTGAGACCATATGGCTTGCAAGGCCTGAAACACTATCTTACTGTTTACATAAAAGGTTACATAAATCATAATCTGGAATATTCTAGAGGGCATGCACTGAACTGGACTGGGTGATGGATATTTAGGGCTTTGACCACTTTTTATCCCAAGTATCCCCACTGTTTTTCATTTATATAGAAATTTTATCCTTCCAAAAAAGCATTATTTTATTTCATGCAATATTTAATGGAATATATAAACTTGTGTATAATTGGTTTTCTTCACTAAATTTCAGCTAGTAACAGGCATTGCCTAGTTTAACACGAGTTTGCTACTCCACTACGAAGGAGAAATGCTTGAGTCCCGTTGAGAGTCACAGAGCCTAAGTGTTCAGGAGCTCCGAAGCAGGCACACAGTGCCCCCGAGCTTCGAGCTCAAGTGGCACATGTGCCTCTCGGTAAGGTTGCCATCTTTGCAGCTGCCACAGACAGCCCTCTGGACTGCCACACGCCTGGGTGTGGTGCACGCCTCCCTCTCACTGCTCCTAGCTGTCCAAGAGGCAGCCTGAGGTGCAGACCTCCTGGAGGGGAAGGGGGCACCTGGATTCCAGGGCTGGCGTTTGTCTCGCTTGAGCCATTCCTGGAGTTAGAAGCACTTAGGCATCCAAGTGCAACTAACCGGAAAGAGGTTGTTCCTTTGGGAACTACCATTTAGCTAGCCCTCTAAAAGTTTCATGGCTATACCTGCATAAAAGTGAATCTGGCCGGGCGTGGTGGCTCACTTCTATAATCCCAGCACTTTGGGAGGCCGAGGCGGGTGGATCACCTGAAGTCAGGAGATTGAGACCATCCTGGCCAACATGGTGAAACCCCGTCTCTACTAAAAATACAAAAATTAGCTGGGCGTGGTGGTGCGCGCCTATAGTCCCAGCTACTCAGGAGGCTGAGACAGGAGAATCGCTCGAACCTAGGAGGCAGAGGGTGCAGTGAGCCAAGATTGTGCCACTGCACTCTAGCCTGGCGACAGAGCGAGACTGCATCTCAAAAAAAAAAAAAAAAAAAAAAAAAAAAAAGGGAATCTGTTTTCTGCTCTAGTGTCAAATTGGATGCATTGGGTGAGACATAGGAGAAAAAGGACTACCCGGCACACAAACACATGGCAACAGTTACCTTCCACTTGCAAGAAACATTCCTCACACACAAACACACATGCGAAGGATTCTCCCTGTGCCCTCCCAACATACAATTACCATCAGCATCTCCTCCTTCATCTGCAGGACACTTCCCTGGAATCCCATCTTCCTTCTGCCATTTTTCCAACACACACAGTACCAGAACAATGATAAAGTTTTTGTTTGTTTGTTTTTTGAGACAAAATCTCACTCTGTCACCCAGGCTGGAGTGCAGTGGCACAATCTCAGCTCACTGCAACCTCTGCCTCCCAGGTTCAAGTGATTTTCCTAACTCGGCCTCCCTAGTAGTTGGGACTACAGGCAAGCGCCACCACGCCCGGCTAATGTTTGTATTTTTACTAGAGATGGGGTTTCACCATGTTGACCAGGCTGGTCTCAAACTCCTGACCTCAAATGACCCACCTGCCTCGGCCTCCCAAAGTGCTGGGATGACAGGTGTGATCCACCCTGCCCGGCCAGAACAATGTTAAGTTTTCTAAAGATGATATTAGTTAATCATCACTACTGTGCTGTGAGGTAAGAGCTATTATCATTCCTATTTGCAGACATGGAAACAGAAGCTTAGAAAGATCAAATGAGCCCAGTTGATGAGTAAGTGTGCTGGGTAGTGTTCTATTAATGAATTCACAACCATTTACTTGCATGTGTGTCCATATATTGAGAGAGTATTTGCAGAAAAGGTGATTCCTATGGAATTTCATAAATTAATACATCAAATAGATCTTCGATAATGCTGTTTCTCAAAATATTTTGTTGTCTATTCTGTAGCTTAAATTTTGATTTAAAAATATCAATCTTAAAAGGCAAAAGTGTCATAATCCCGATGTGTATGGTTCAATTCTATCTGCCATGCCACTCCACACAGCACCTGTGTTTGTCTCTTCCCAGCAGTGGGGCTCCCTGTTTCGGGAATAGAGAGAAGAGTGATGGCTGCAGCTGGAGAACCCTCCAAATGTCCTCTGCAGAGAGAGTAAGAGTTGCTCTTTCGCTTCCCACAGGGAGAGCAGCTGCCCTGTTGACTCTGCTGCCCCTGTGCAGTTTCAGTCCAGGCCGTTTCCATTCTCCGTGGAAAAGCCCGCTGGCCCAGGGTGTCAGCAGCCCCACGGGCAGCATCTGCCTAGGACTTGGTGTCCCCAGGCTTGGCCGGGCTCTAGGTCTATGCACGAGGCGGGTGGAGACAAGGTCTTCTCCTCCATGTCTCCAAAAGACTGTCGGTCTCCCACAAACTTCTGGGAAATCCATCCGATGTTTGTCCGATACATAAGGATGCAATTTCATGCATGACAGCTCAATAAAGCATATTTAATATATTCAACTCTTCAAATTTAAACCAGACACCTGGCTTGAGTGAAATTTCCAGTTGAGTTAATATCCCTCCCAGCCTCTGACATTTGTAACTGTTCACATGTTAATCCAAACCATTCACTCGTTCACCTTAGTAAAAGCATATTTTGGGATTTTATGTGCTGGGATTTGACATCAAAGAATTGTTTTTATTATAGAGCTTTTACTAGCCAAGTCTGAATTCGGAACAGGTCCTGTTCAGCAGTAGAGCCTGGTGAGCAGTCATGCTTCATAATAAAACAGGTGAGCTGTGATCTGTCAGACCCTAAACAGAAGTCCCCCCATCTGGAACCTTTGGGAAGAATCCTTGTGCTTTGTGCAAATGAAATTTATCTGGCCTTTCCTCCGATTACTTTCACTTTCATTTTCTTTCTCAGAAGATATTTTTTCTGGATCATGACAGCTCAGAACCGTTTGGCTAGGTTATGTGAAAGGTCTCAGATTCACAGTCTGTGGACTACTCTGGGACATTGTAACTTTGGATCAGGTAGATGTCTACTGGAATCACAGTATTAAATGTAAAAACAGAACAAAAGGCCCTGTTGAGCTGTGAAGAGGATGGTTATTCTGTGCCCCATTCCAGCCCCAGCCCCAGCCCCAGCCCCTGCCCTATTCTAAGGTGACCACTAGCCCTATCTTGGCTGCGTCCCCAGGGGTCAGCGGCTAGCACTGGGTGCAGCCAAGTGGGGGAGAGCTCTGGGCCGCGAGCAAGGTGTGGGGCCACCCGTGGCCAGGTGGGCTTCAGCTGCATCCTCATGGTTCTCACGGCACCCCTAAAAAGGGCTCTGGAAACCTAAGCCCTGTGTACTCTGCTTCAATGCAGAAATGCATGTTCCTCCTCCTGTATCTCTCGGGATAATCCCACCATAACCTCATTCTGCAGGTTCATGATGCTCCCTCCTTCTGCTCCCCAAAACAATGGTGTTAGGGATATTGAATCTGACACACAAAGGCAGACTCTAAGAAGAAAATCTACATGCTTTCTCTAAAAACAAACTGAAATACCTGTGAATCAAAGCAAAAGCTTTTGGGTTCCCCACGCCTGCTGATTGTCCTCACCCCCTCTCAAGGTGGTGGTGGGGAAGGTCAGGTGCCCTTCAGGGTCTCCAGATGAAGGCCTGCTCCCAACAACTACTTGAGACACTGACTTCTCCTTTCTTTAGGAAAAATGCCACTGTTTATGGTTAATTATTAAGCTAGAAATAGACTCAGTAAATCAGCTTAACCCACCAAGAGAGGTGAAGGGATGGAAGCAGGAAGACACGGAGATTAGGGTGGGAATCCACTTGTTGTTTTCGACAGTATGAATGTTCTTCATGAAGTGTTAAGAAGTAATTTTCTTTATCCACAGATGTTTGAAAAAGAGAAAATTGGCTTAAATTTTAAAAAAGCAAAACAAAACAAAATGTTTCAGTTTTACACAAGGAAAAACTCAACTGGAAAACAAAAGTAAACGCAGTCCCTTGAGGACGTGTTAGCACCGAGTGGGGCTGGGGCTCCAGGTGCAGCCTGCTCTGTGGAGTTGGGGGTCCAAGGTGTCCAAGGTGGGGACAGTGGGGAAGCTCAGGCCGGTGGCCTCATTGTCCTACAGGGCCCAGCGCCAGTGTGCACAGTGGGGGTGAAGCCATGTCTGCGCGCGAGAGCCGTGAGCACTTCAGGTGAGGCTTGCCAGGGCCTGAAGGCAGGCCCATGCCACCTCTGCCCACAAGGCCCGTGCCACCTCTGCCCACAAGGCCCGTGCCACCTCTGCCCACAAAGTCCGTGCCACCTCTGCCCACAAGGCCCATGCCACCTCTGCCCACAAGGTCCGTGCCACCTCTGCCCACAAGGCCCGTGCCACCTCTGCCCACAAGGTCCGTGCCACCTCTGCCCACAAGGCCCGTGCCACCTCTTCCCACAAGGTCCATGCCACCTCTTCCCACAAGGTCCGTGCCACCTCTTCCCACAAGGTCCGTGCCACCTCTGCCCACAAGGCCCGTGCCACCTCTGCCCACAAGGTCCGTGCCACCTCTGCCCACAAGGCCCGTGCCACCTCTTCCCACAAGGTCCGTGCCACCTCTGCCCACAAGGCCCGTGCCACCTCTGCCCACAAGGCCCATGCCACCTCTTCCCACAAGGCCCATGCCACCTCTGCGCACAAGGCCCGTGCCACCTCTGCCCACAAGGTCCGTGCCACCTCTGCGCACAAGGCCCGTGCCACCTCTGCCCACAAGGCCCGTGCCACCTCTTCCCACAAGGTCCATGCCACCTCTTCCCACAAGGCCCGTGCCACCTCTGCCCACAAGGCCCGTGCCACCTCTGCCCACAAGGCCCATGCCACCTCTGCCCACAAGGCCCATGCCACCTCTTCCCACAAGGTCCATGCCACCTCTGCCCACAAGGCCCGTGCCACCTCTGCCCACAAGGCCTGTGCCACCTCTGCCCACCCCTGCAGATCCCAAGCTGGGCAGGAAAGCCTCCTCTCCACACCTCATGTGCACATGTTTCTGGACAGTTACCCACCCTGTCCTCCAGGGAGACAAGCTTCTTCTATGGGCTGAGATTCTTTGGAAGTGCGTATTACACCTGAGCCACCAGTGGGAATGACCAACGGAGCAGGCCCTGCCTGGAAATGACAGGGGAGGACTCGCCTGCGGGCTTCGCTTCCTACCAGCTCACCCTGTGTGTCAGGGGCTCAGGGGCCGCGCATCCCTCAAGGGTCCTGAGGCAATGCTTTGTGAAGACTCTGTGTTCTTGACAATCTCTTGGGGTCTGTACTGGGGTGGGGCCACTGTGCTTCTCCATTTGGCAGGATGAGGAGAAGCTGGGGAAGTGAGTGGGGACGGGAATGGGGGTTAAAATACAGCCCCAGGCACCGGTGTGGGGTTCCAGTGCCCATCGAGGGGCACTGCAGCCTCAGATGTGTCCTGGAACCCTAGCAACATCCTCACATTTGTCATCTTTTCTTTCCTCCACTCCTCTTCTTCTTCTTCTTCCTCTTTTCTTCTTCTTCTTTCTTTTTCTTTTTTGAGACACAGTCTCGCTCTGTCACCCAGGCTGGAGTGCAGTGGTGCAATCATAGCTCACTGCAGCCTTGACCTCCCAGGCGCAAGTGATCCTCCCACCTCAGCCTCCCAAAGTGCTGGGACTACAGGCATGAACCACTGCACCTGGCCCATCTTCTTTCTTATCTAAACATTTCTCCATAGAGCATGTGAGGGAAATCCTTCAAAGGAAGAGGAACTATGCAAACGTCTTCATGACAGTGACCGAATAGGGCTGCCCACGTTGGGCAGGGCGGCCGGTCTCCAGGGAGAGGCCCCCCCTAGGGCCGGGTGCTGCCTCTGGGCTCTGGCCCAGCTCCCCAGCTCACTGGGAAAACTCACAGACCTTCTGCTTCAACAGAACTCATTGCTGCTCAAAATTATTATCCTGAAGAAATGCAAAGCATTTACTTTATATCAGCCTTTTCTCAAGTTCTTTGTCAAAACATGGATTTATTCTAAGATCCTAGTGAAATTTTGTTCTTATAATCACTGATTTGAGGCCTCAACCCCAAACTCAACACTTTTTTAGAGTGTTTTAATCCACTTTCATTTAGTTTTTATCCCATTCTATACACTTTGAGGTGGCAGCCTATACAGCATCTGATGCAAATGAGTGCTTACAATTCAATAATTTAGTGCTTCCAGAAACTGTCCGACTATTACCTGGGAGCATTGCTATGAATGAAGAATCCCTCAGCCCCTTGCTAAATACTAAGTCAGAGCCTCTGGGAGGGCTGTGGAATAGGGAGGTTTAACACCCGTCCAAGGTCAGTCCCCTGAAGGTCACTGTGGTCGGGCCGGACTGGCGTGGTCCTACTGAGATGCCGAAGGGGAGGCCCCTCCTCTGGCCTCACACCCAGACCAGCCAAGCTCTCCGGTATCTCTGAAAGCTCTCATCTCCCTGGGTCCTGTTTCTCCCCGGAATCTCTGATTCTGCTCATAAAACAAAGGATGTGTTTTCATGGAACCACTTTCTTAATTGACAGACAGGGAACCCTTATAAAGGATGCTTTCCCAAACACACAGTTATGGCATTCAGTGTCTGTGTTAGGGAGGAGAAACCACAGAGGCTCTGGCCTTGAAGAGATATTTCTAATGAGGATGAAAGACTTGTTGTGTGAACTCTGAACAATATCAAACCTCACAGTTTATTTTGAAAATTAAAAACGGCAGTTGAAATGTTAGGATAAAAAGGTAAATTTCAGCATGTCAGAGGCAGCTGTTTCTGAATAGGTCTGAATACAGCTGAGGGCAACTACACCAGGTGTCCGTACTTTGGAAAATCGGTGAGCTGCAAAGGGAAGAAACAGGAAGTCAACAGAAACAGCCAGACCTCTGGCACCATCAGTAGACAACAGAAACAGCCGGACCCCCGGCACCATCAGTAGACAAGAGAAACAGCCGGACCCCCGGCACCATCAGTAGACAACAGAAACAGCCGGACCCCCGGCACCATCAGTAGACAACAGAAACAGCCGGACCCCGGCACCATCAGTAGACAACAGAAACAGCCGGACCCCCGGCACCATCAGTAGACAACAGAAACAGCCGGACCCCCAGCACCATCAGTAGACAACAGAAACAGCCGGACCCCCGGCACCATCAGTAGACAACAGAAACAGCCGGACCCCCGGCACCATCAGTAGACAACAGAAAGAGCCAGACCCCCGGCACCATCAGTAGACAAGAGAAACAGCTGGCCCCCGGCACCATCAATAGACAACAGAAACAGCCGGACCCCCGGCACCATCAGTAGACAACAGAAACAGCCGGACCCCCGGCACCATCAGTAGACAAGAGAAACAGCCGGACCCCCGGCACCATCAGTAGACAAGAGAAACAGCCGGACCCCCGGCACCATCAGTAGACAACAGAAACAGCCGGACCCCCGGCACCATCAGTAGTACAACAGAAACAGCCAGACCCCCGGCACCATCAGTAGACAAGAGAAACAGCCGGACCCCCGGCACCATCAGTAGACAAGAGAAACAGCCGGACCCCCGGCACCATCAGTAGACAAGAGAAACAGCTGGCCCCCGGCACCATCAGTAGACAACAGAAACAGCCGGACCCCCGGCACCATCAATAGACAACAGAAACAGCCGGACCCCGGCACCATCAGTAGACAAGAGAAACAGCCGGACCCCCGGCACCATCAGTAGACAACAGAAACAGCCGGACCCCCGGCACCATCAGTAGACAAGAGAAACAGCCGGACCCCCGGCACCATCAGTAGACAACAGAAACAGCCGGACCCCCGGCACCATCAGTAGACAACAGAAACAGCCGGACCCCCGGCACCATCAGTAGACAAGAGAAACAGCCGGACCCCCGGCACCATCAGTAGACAAGAGAAACAGCCGGACCCCCGGCACCATCAGTAGACAAGAGAAACAGCCGGACCCCCGGCACCATCAGTAGACAAGAGAAACAGCCGGACCCCGGCACCATCAGCAGACCCGGCGTTTCAGCTTTGGCTCTTCCAGCAGCGCAGATGTGCTGACGGGTGACTGCATGAATACGAAGAGCGCAGGAGATTGTTAAATGTGAAATCCCATATTTGCAGAGGTCTAGAGAAATCACCTCTTACCAACTGTTTACTTCGTATTTGTCAGTAAACAAGTATAAGAAACAACAATTACGTCTTTACCCACCTCATCTCTAACGTCTTTTGTTTTCCAATGTCTGGTCTTTGTCTTCCGAAAAAGTCCGTACTTAGAATTTTAGAGTTGGAGGGAAACTAGAGCTGGGGATCCTTGGTGCTTTCTTAAAGGACCTGAAACAAAGTTTCCCACTCTCTTCACAGGACACCAATAGTTTTCACTCTGCTGCACCCTCCCAGCAGGGCCTGAAGGAGAAGCTACAGAGAACTGAAGAAAAGGAAAGTATGCTTCATCTGCCCCAGACCTTCACACGTAGACTTATACATTGAATTTCCTGTCAGATTGTATTTAAAAATTAGGCTGGAGGGACATCTCCAGCACAAAACCCACCTTCTCACATCCAAATGATTGGCATTCCCTTTGCGGACATGATTGTCTAAATTTAATCTCCTAGGTGAATGCCATCTCCTAGGTAAATGTGCACATGATGAGGGCGCCGTGAATGCCAGTGCAGTGCAATGAGATTTCATGGCTGCTGTGATATGTGAGTGTTAAGTGTCTACACTTAATCACTACAGACGTCCCAGTGTAAATTAAGACATATTTTCTATTATGTGTGATATGGTTTTGCTGTGTCCCCACCCGAATCTCATCTTGAATTGTAGTTCCCATAATCCCCATGTGTTGTGGGAGGGAGAAGGTGGGGGGGGGATAATTTAATCATGGGAATGGTGACCCTCATGCTGTTCTCATGATAGTGAGTGAGTTCTCACAAGATCTGATGGTTTTATAAGGGGCTTTCTCCCATTTTGCTCAGTGCTTTGGCCCTTCTCCTTGCTGCTGCCATGTGAAGAAGGATGTGTTTGCTTCTCCTTCTGCCGTGATTGTTAAGTTTCCTGAGGCTTCCCCAGCCATGCTGCACTGTGAGTCAATTACACCTCTTTTATTTATAAATTACCCAGTCTTAGATATATCCTTATAGCAGCATGAGAATGGACTAATACGATGTGCAGTGATCGGATAGACATCTCTCCACAGGGTGGTTTCTTGTCTTCCGAAAGAACAAATCTAGAAGAAAGCTCTGTGCAGTTCCTCAGGCTGAGGAAGGGCGAGGAAGAAGCAGCCGCTCATCGAGTGTGCAGTAAGAGCATCTGTGCCAGATGGTTTTTTGATCAGTCAATCAGCAACATTAATTGGGAAGCCCTGTGTGAGGAACTCACGCAGAATACTGCAGCTGCAGACACATTTTCTCTCTAGACTGTCAAGGGTCAGTCTACTGAACAGACCGATTTTGTTTTTTCCCAGACAAAAGGCTCCTAAGTGGCTTCAGTGATTCACTCCGCCCTTTTCACCTTGTGCAGAATGAGACGGCAGCTTGCATCACAGCGACGTTAACTCACACATCCTTCTCCCCTGACACTCCTGGGGTCTGTTCTTGAGGATCTGGGCCTTATCCAGACCGATCTCGCTCCCCACGGCTTTACCTTTGTCTTTCCAAACATAAAAACAAAAATGTAGCCAGGCAGTTGCTTCTAGCAGTTGGTCTGGCCTGAGTGTAGCAAACTTCTCCAAGCGAATGTTGACTATCCAACGGCTCACCAGGGCCTCTGCCTGGATGCTTTTTCTTACATGGAACCCTGTGCAGTGGTCACGGGTCACAGTGTCACTGCTGGAGGATGAACAGCCCCCGAGGTGACTGTTTGCTGTTGCTTCACCACCAGCAATGTGTGTAGGCACCAGCTCATTCACACCTCACTCACGGAACCCTCAGGCCCCTCACGCCCTAAGATTTTACCTTTTCCACGGCTTTCTTGACAACAGAACCAGATAGAGAGAGGCTGAGGTGTCCAGTTCCCTAACGATGATGACTTAGATTTTACATACACCCCAAAAACAAAAGGCCAAAGACCTGGCAGAGGACATCCCAAATGTGCAAGTTCCCACATGTTCCCAGCAGTTTGTATTATATAAAATACAATTGGAATAATGTCTCATTTTCTATTTTTGCTCCTGATAAAATATCAGCTTTAGTGGGTCCTGAGTGACCATACGTCTTCGGTCCTGGGATACACAATTTTCCATCTCTTATCGTCCCCCACGTGTTAGGGTGCACTTCACAGGCAAGGCCTCTTATTTCCCGTATGGAGACTGTTCCGCCAGGTCTGCTGTAGCTCGCTGGACAGGCAGCTCTTGGGGGTTATTCCTGGTGGCCTGGCTGAACAGGTGCAACCCGTAGATGTTGCAGTCAGCAAAGCTTCCAAGGCCCAAACCAGGAAGGCATCAGATTCCTCGCTATTGCTGAAAGGGATGCCTGCTTCTAGCACGAGAAATCCGAAGCATTGAAACTCACAGAGCCGGCGTCGGTGGCGGGGAGGATGTTGGAGCTGCAGTGGCGGCTCCTCCGCTGAGAAACACTGGATCTTAAACGCTCTTTCAGGGCCCATAGCCATGGTTACCTGGAAAGCCATGGGCATTCATGACACTATTGTACTCTGAATGTAAATGTGTGTTCGTAATACCCTAATGGATTCACTCAACGGTATGGTCTGCATGTTTGTGTTCCCCCAAATCCCAATACTAAAATCCTCACCCCATATCAATGGGCGAGGAGGTGGGGTCTTGGGGAGGTGATGGGGTCATGAGAGTGAAGCCCTGGTGAATGGGGTTAGCGCCCTTACAAAAGGGACCTCAGAGATCTTCTCCCCTCCACCACATAAAGACACAGTGAGAAGGCGCCATTTGCAACCTCGCAGAGGGGCCTCACAAGAACCCCATAATTCTGCTGTCCTGGGCTTGGACTTCCAGCCCCTAGAACTATGGGAAATGAATTTCTGATTTTTATAAACCACCCGGTTAATGGTAGCTTGTTATAGAAACCCGAATTCACCAAGACTGTTCGCTTTCACTGTCCTTCCTGTGATTTCAAAACAATAATATATAATACAAGTCTATGTATAAATAGATAGATGTATGTAGATATACATGTAGATATTCCACAAAATA
Source organism: Homo sapiens (assembly GCF_000001405.40). Classification (NCBI taxonomy): domain Eukaryota; kingdom Metazoa; phylum Chordata; class Mammalia; order Primates; family Hominidae; genus Homo; species Homo sapiens. Next base: position 77,829 of record NW_004166862.2, on the reverse strand, counting down.
CATTGAAAGAACCCTTTAAATAAATATAAAATAAAACTTCCAAATCAGAAAGAAGCATTCTGCTTTAGTGTACTTGGCAGTGTATTTTCTTTCTTAGTGGAACATAAAATAACAGACTGTCTTTGAATCCACAGTGCTGCAGACTCAGTGAAGTTCGGCACTTAAAGGAGACCCTGAGTGATGGGACATGGCGCCGGCCACTCGATACGGGACTTAGAGGCCCCAGGAGGTGCTTCAGGCCACTGCTCCCAGGTACCGTCTCTCAGGAGAGCCTGAAACGGGTCCACAAGCCACATAAAACCTTCGCATTTGCTGGTCAGACACAGCGTCATGCCACGTTCTCAGTGACACTGTTCAAATGCCTCCTCCAACCCTCATTTAAATCGTATCCCATGATTTCATAAGGTGATCACCACGCTGAGCCTCATTTTCTCATCTATAAATTCAGGCAGCCATGCTGTCTTCATGCTGAGCTTCTGGGGTGATACTGACAGACAGCAGTGGCCTGACACATGGCTGGGACATGCCAGCACCTGCATGGTGTCGCACAGGTCACAGCAGGGACACACTGGCCCCCGCGTGGTGTCACACACGTCATAGCAGTGACACACCAGCCCCCGTGTGGGGTCGCACACCATGGCTGAGATACACACGTCACAGCAGGGACACGCCGGCCTCACATGGTGTCACACATCACGGCAGGGATACACACATGTCACAGCAGGGACACGCCGGCCCCACGTGGTGTCACACACATCACAGCAGGGACACGCCGGCCCCCACGTGGTGTCACACATGTCACAGCAGGGACACGCCGGCCCCACGTGGTGTCACACATGTCACAGCAGGGACACGCCGGCCCCACGTGGTGTCACACATGTCACAGCAGGGACGTGCCGGCCCCACATGGTGTCACACACATCACAGCAGGGACACGCCGGCCCCCACGTGGTGTCACACTTGTCACAGCAGGGACACGCCGGCCCCACGTGGTGTCACACATGTCACAGCAGGGACGTGCCAGCCCCACACATCACGGCAGGGATACACACATGTCAGAGCAGGGATGCGCCAGCCCCACATGGTGTCACACACATTGGGCTTCCCCAGGCCCACCTGCATGATTCCTGGGTTCTCCGAGGCAACTATGGGGCATACAGGCTTTGTGTAGTCTTTCCTGGTGTCCTTGTTTTTATTTTAATCAGAGTTCAGTCCAGTGGAAATAAGTAGGTATTTTCATAGGAACGTCTAGAATCTGTGAATGTCGAGCCTTTGGTCAAAGGATTTTGCTAAGCATCCTCCAATACCTGGTAAAAGATGGTCAGCACTGACAGGGTTCCCTTCAGAGGAGGATAAGCATCCTGGCCCACGAGGGAAAATGCTGAGTGGGTGCCGTGGTCAGTGTGGTCCCTGTGCAGCTGTCCTGGGCTCTCAGCACCATGCCAATCTTCACTGCCCATCGATTTGGATGGAGCCCGTCCCTCACTTTCTGAGCCTGTCAGCCTCTCCTCCACATCACTCCTGCTGGTGTCGCGCAGGAAAAGCAGCACGGGCCTCTCCCAGAGCCGAGCGCCACAGCAGCCAGCGGGGACAGCCTGGGCCTGAGTGTAAAGCTCTCTTCTCCCTCATCAGCAGGATCCCAGGGGTGTCCTCACTGAGCTTCCTGCTTCTGTACAGACTCCAGAGAAGCTCTCCTTGGCCTTTCTGGAAGCCCAACTACCCTGTCTCATCCCTCCTGTCCCCCAGCTGAGATCCTCCTGTACCCCATCCCTCCCTCCTGTCTGTCTCCATCCCATCCCTCCCATCCCATTTCCCTCCCTTCTGTCCCCATCCCTCCCTCCCGTCCCCAATCCCATTTCATCCCTCTGGTCCCTCATCGCATCCCTCCTGTCCCCGTGCCTCTCTCCTGTCCCCATCCCATCCCTCCCTCCTGTCTTGCAGCCAAACCCCTTGTGTCCCCCAGCGTCCTGCACAGGGGCGCCTGCCCTAGGCACCTCCTGCCACCTGGTGCTGCTGGGCACTGAACTGCCCTGTGGGCTGCGGCACACACCACAGGGGCCTCTTTCCGGGTTATCCCTCCTGACTCCAGGGGGACCTGCGAGTGATCCATGTTAGTGTTTTCATCCCGGACGCTCTGCAGCGCCTGGCAGGTTGCACGCCCTTGAGAACTGCGTGTCCGTGAACCAAGTGATGGGGCTGCCTACTTCACAGGGCCGGCTTCAGCACACAGTCAGCATCAGCCTCCACCTCTGCCTGTCGTTCTGTTCGGCTTCACGCCTCCCCGCTGAGGCCCCCTCGGCAGAGCCCTGGATCCTCGACTCCCTGGTTCCTGCGCCTCCCTGGCTCTTTAGTCTTCATGAGCCTCGCCTCACCCTAAAGCCCAGCCCGCTCACCTCCTGTTCCCTCCTCGCTCGGAACTAGCACTTCCTGACCTTCGCCGTCCTCATCAGCACCGCGTCCTCATCAGCACCGCGTCCTCATCAGCACCGCGTCCTCATCAGCACCGCATCAGCACCGCGTCCTCATCGGCACCGCGTCCTCATCGGCACCGCGTCCTCATCGGCACCGCGTCCTCATCGGCACCGCGTCCTCATCGGCACCGCGTCATCAGCACCGCGTCCTCATCAGCACCGCGTCCTCATCGGCACCGCGTCCTCATCGGCACCGCGTCCTCATCAGCACCGCATCAGCACCGCGTCCTCATCGGCACCGCGTCCTCATCGGCACCGCGTCCTCATCGGCACCGCGTCCTCATCGGCACCGCGTCATCAGCACCGCGTCCTCATCGGCACCGCGTCCTCATCGGCACCGCGTCCTCATCGGCACCGCGTCCTCATCGGCACCGCGTCCTCATCAGCACCCTGTCCTCATCAGCACCGCGTCCTCATCAGCACCGCGTCCTCATCAGCACCGCATCAGCACCGCGTCCTCATCAGCACCGCGTCCTCATCAGCACCCTGTCCTCATCAGCACCGCGTCCTCATCGGCACCGCGTCCTCATCAGCACCCTGTCCTCATCGGCACCGCGTCATCAGCACCGCGTCCTCATCAGCACCGCGTCCTCATCGGCACCGCGTCCTCATCGGCACCGCGTCCTCATCGGCACCGCGTCCTCATCAGCACCCTGTCCTCATCAGCACCGCATCAGCACCGCGTCCTCATCAGCACCCTGTCCTCATCAGCACCGTGTCCTCATCAGCACCGCGTCCTCATCAGCACCGCATCAGCACCGCGTCCTCATCAGCACCGCGTCCTCATCAGCACCCTGTCCTCATCAGCACCGCGTCCTCATCGGCACCGCGTCCTCATCAGCACCCTGTCCTCATCGGCACCGCGTCCTCATCAGCACCCTGTCCTCATCGGCACCGCGTCCTCATCAGCACCCTGTCCTCATCGGCACCGCGTCCTCATCAGCACCGCGTCCTCATCAGCACCGCGTCCTCATCAGCACCGCGTCCTCATCAGCACCGCATCAGCACCGCGTCCTCATCAGCACCGCGTCCTCATCAGCACCGCGTCCTCATCAGCACCGCGTCCTCATCAGCACCGCATCAGCACCGCGTCCTCATCAGCACCCTGTCCTCATCAGCACCGCGTCCTCATCAGCACCGCGTCCTCATCAGCACCGCATCAGCACCGCGTCCTCATCAGCACCGCGTCCTCATCAGCACCCTGTCCTCATCAGCACCGCGTCCTCATCGGCACCGCGTCCTCATCAGCACCCTGTCCTCATCGGCACCGCGTCCTCATCGGCACCCTGTCCTCATCAGCACCGCGTCCTCATCAGCACCCTGTCCTCATCAGCACCGTGTCCTCATCAGCACCCTGTCCTCATCAGCACCGCGTCCTCATCAGCACCGCGTCCTCATCAGCACCGCGTCCTCATCAGCACCGCATCAGCACCGCGTCCTCATCAGCACCGCATCAGCACCGCGTCCTCATCAGCACCGCGTCCTCATCAGCACCGCGTCCTCATCAGGACCGCGTCCACATCAGCACCGCATCAGCACCGCGTCCTCATCAGCACCCTGTCCTCATCAGCACCGCGTCCTCATCAGCACCGCGTCCTCATCAGCACCGCATCCTCATCAGCACCGCATCAGCACCGCGTCCTCATCAGCACCGCGTCCTCATCAGCACCGCATCCTCATCAGCACCGCATCCTCATCAGCACCGCATCCTCATCAGCACCGCATCCTCATCAGCACCGCATCAGCACCCTGTCCTCATCAGCACCGCGTCCTCATCAGCACCGCATCCTCATCAGCACCGCGTCCGCATCAGCACCGCGTCCTCATCAGCACCGCATCCTCATCAGCACCGCATCCTCATCAGCACCGCATCCTCATCAGCACCGCATCCTCATCAGCACCGCATCAGCACCCCGTCCTCATCAGCACCGCGTCCTCATCAGCACCGCATCCTCATCAGCACCGCATCCTCATCAGCACCGCATCCTCATCAGCACCGCATCCTCATCAGCACCGCATCCGCATCAGCACCGCGTCCGCATCAGCACCGCATCCTCATCAGCACCGCATCCTCATCAGCACCGCATCCTCATCAGCACCGCGTCCTCATCAGCACCGCGTCCGCATCAGCACCGCATCCTCATCAGCACCGCATCCGCATCAGCACCGCGTCCGCATCAGGCACCGGCTCCTCATCAGCACCGCGTCCTCATCAGCACCGCATCAGCACCGCGTCCTCATCAGCACCCTGTCCTCATCAGCACCGCGTCCTCATCAGCACCGCGTCCTCATCAGCACCGCATCAGCACCGCGTCCTCATCAGCACCGCGTCCTCATCAGCACCCTGTCCTCATCAGCACCGCGTCCTCATCGGCACCGCGTCCTCATCAGCACCCTGTCCTCATCGGCACCGCGTCCTCATCGGCACCCTGTCCTCATCAGCACCGCGTCCTCATCAGCACCCTGTCCTCATCAGCACCGTGTCCTCATCAGCACCCTGTCCTCATCAGCACCGCGTCCTCATCAGCACCGCGTCCTCATCAGCACCGCGTCCTCATCAGCACCGCATCAGCACCGCGTCCTCATCAGCACCGCATCAGCACCGCGTCCTCATCAGCACCGCGTCCTCATCAGCACCGCGTCCTCATCAGGACCGCGTCCACATCAGCACCGCATCAGCACCGCGTCCTCATCAGCACCCTGTCCTCATCAGCACCGCGTCCTCATCAGCACCGCGTCCTCATCAGCACCGCATCCTCATCAGCACCGCATCAGCACCGCGTCCTCATCAGCACCGCATCAGCACCGCGTCCTCATCAGCACCGCGTCCTCATCAGCACCGCGTCCTCATCAGCACCGCGTCCTCATCGGCACCGCGTCCTCATCGGCACCCTGTCCTCATCGGCACCGCGTCCTCATCGGCACCCTGTCCTCATCGGCACCGCGTCCTCATCGGCACCCTGTCCTCATCAGCACCGTGTCCTCATCAGCACCCTGTCCTCATCAGCACCGCGTCATCAGCACCGCGTCCTCATCAGCACCGCGTCCTCATCAGCACCGCATCAGCACCGCGTCCTCATCAGCACCGCATCAGCACCGCGTCCTCATCAGCACCGCGTCCTCATCAGCACCGCGTCCTCATCAGCACCGCGTCCTCATCAGCACCGCATCAGCACCGCGTCCTCATCAGCACCCTGTCCTCATCAGCACCGCGTCCTCATCAGCACCGCGTCCTCATCAGCACCGCGTCCTCATCGGCACCGCGTCCTCATCGGCACCGCGTCCTCATCAGCACCCTGTCCTCATCGGCACCGCGTCATCAGCACCGCGTCCTCATCGGCACCGCGTCCTCATCGGCACCGCGTCCTCATCGGCACCGCGTCCTCATCGGCACCACGTCATCGGCACCACGTCCTCATCAGCACCCTGTCCTCATCAGCACCGCATCAGCACCGCGTCCTCATCAGCACCCTGTCCTCATCAGCACCGCGTCCTCATCAGCACCGCGTCCTCATCAGCACCGCATCAGCACCGCGTCCTCATCAGCACCGCGTCCTCATCAGCACCCTGTCCTCATCAGCACCGCGTCCTCATCGGCACCGCGTCCTCATCGGCACCCTGTCCTCATCGGCACCGCGTCCTCATCAGCACCCTGTCCTCATCGGCACCGCGTCCTCATCAGCACCCTGTCCTCATCGGCACCGCGTCCTCATCAGCACCCTGTCCTCATCAGCACCGCGTCCTCATCAGCACCGCGTCCTCATCAGCACCGCGTCCTCATCAGCACCCTGTCCTCATCAGCACCGCATCAGCACCGCGTCCTCATCAGCACCCTGTCCTCATCAGCACCGCGTCCTCATCAGCACCGCGTCCTCATCAGCACCGCATCAGCACCGCGTCCTCATCAGCACCGCGTCCTCATCAGCACCCTGTCCTCATCAGCACCGCGTCCTCATCGGCACCGCGTCCTCATCAGCACCCTGTCCTCATCGGCACCGCGTCCTCATCAGCACCCTGTCCTCATCGGCACCGCGTCCTCATCAGCACCCTGTCCTCATCAGCACCGCGTCCTCATCAGCACCCTGTCCTCATCAGCACCGCGTCCTCATCAGCACCGCATCAGCACCGCGTCCTCATCAGCACCGCATCAGCACCGCGTCCTCATCAGCACCGCGTCCTCATCAGCACCGCGTCCTCATCAGCACCGCGTCCTCATCAGCACCGCATCAGCACCGCGTCCTCATCAGCGCGGCATCCGCATCAGCACCGCGTCCTCATCAGCACCGCGTCCTCATCAGCACCGCATCCTCATCAGCACCGCATCAGCACCGCGTCCTCATCAGCACCGCATCAGCACCGCGTCCTCATCAGCACCGCGTCCTCATCAGCACCGCGTCCTCATCAGCACCGCGTCCTCATCAGCACCGCGTCCTCATCGGCACCGCGTCCTCATCGGCACCGCGTCCTCATCAGCACCGCATCAGCACCGCGTCCTCATCGGCACCGCGTCCTCATCGGCACCGCGTCCTCATCGGCACCGCGTCCTCATCGGCACCGCGTCATCAGCACCGCGTCCTCATCGGCACCGCGTCCTCATCGGCACCGCGTCCTCATCGGCACCGCGTCCTCATCGGCACCGCGTCCTCATCAGCACCCTGTCCTCATCAGCACCGCGTCCTCATCAGCACCGCGTCCTCATCAGCACCGCATCAGCACCGCGTCCTCATCAGCACCGCGTCCTCATCAGCACCCTGTCCTCATCAGCACCGCGTCCTCATCGGCACCGCGTCCTCATCAGCACCCTGTCCTCATCGGCACCGCGTCATCAGCACCGCGTCCTCATCAGCACCGCGTCCTCATCGGCACCGCGTCCTCATCGGCACCGCGTCCTCATCGGCACCGCGTCCTCATCAGCACCCTGTCCTCATCAGCACCGCATCAGCACCGCGTCCTCATCAGCACCCTGTCCTCATCAGCACCGTGTCCTCATCAGCACCGCGTCCTCATCAGCACCGCATCAGCACCGCGTCCTCATCAGCACCGCGTCCTCATCAGCACCCTGTCCTCATCAGCACCGCGTCCTCATCGGCACCGCGTCCTCATCAGCACCCTGTCCTCATCGGCACCGCGTCCTCATCAGCACCCTGTCCTCATCGGCACCGCGTCCTCATCAGCACCCTGTCCTCATCAGCACCGCGTCCTCATCAGCACCCTGTCCTCATCAGCACCGCGTCCTCATCAGCACCGCATCAGCACCGCGTCCTCATCAGCACCGCATCAGCACCGCGTCCTCATCAGCACCGCGTCCTCATCAGCACCGCGTCCTCATCAGCACCGCGTCCTCATCAGCACCGCATCAGCACCGCGTCCTCATCAGCACCGCATCAGCACCGCGTCCTCATCAGCACCGCGTCCTCATCAGCACCGCGTCCTCATCAGCACCGCATCAGCACCGCGTCCTCATCAGCACTGCGTCCTCATCAGCACCGCGTCCTCATCAGCACCGCGTCCTCATCAGCACCGCATCCTCATCAGCACCGCATCCTCATCAGCACCGCATCCTCATCAGCACCGCATCAGCACCGCATCAGCACCGCATCCTCATCAGCACCGCATCCTCATCAGCACCGCATCAGCACCGCATCAGCACCGCATCCTCATCAGCACCGCATCCTCATCAGCACCGCATCAGCACCGCGTCCTCATCAGCACCGCATCAGCACCGCATCAGCACCGCATCCTCATCAGCACCGCATCCTCATCAGCACCGCATCAGCACCGCATCAGCACCGCATCCTCATCAGCACCGCATCCTCATCAGCACCGCATCAGCACCGCGTCCTCATCAGCACCGCATCCTCATCAGCACCGCATCCTCATCAGCACCGCATCCTCATCAGCACCGCATCCTCATCAGCACCGCATCAGCATCGCATCAGCACCGCGTCCTCATCAGCACCGCGTCCTCATCAGCACCGCGTCCTCATCAGCACCGCGTCCTCATCAGCACCGCATCAGCACCGCGTCCTCATCAGCACCGCATCCTCATCAGCACTGCATCAGCACCGCGTCCTCATCAGCACCGCGTCCTCATCAGCACCGCGTCCTCATCAGCACCGCGTCCTCATCAGCACCGCATCAGCACCGCGTCCTCATCAGCACCGCATCCTCATCAGCACCGCATCAGCACCGCGTCCTCATCAGCACCGCGTCCTCATCAGCACCGCGTCCTCATCAGCACCGCATCCTCATCAGCACCGCGTCCTCATCAGCACCGCATCCTCATCAGCACCGCGTCCTCATCAGCACCGCGTCCTCATCAGCACCGCGTCCTCATCAGCACCGCATCAGCACCGCGTCCTCATCAGCACCGCATCAGCACCGCATCCTCATCAGCACCGCATCCTCATCAGCACCGCATCAGCATCGCGTCCTCATCAGCACCGCGTCCTCATCAGCACCGCGTCCTCATCAGCACCGCATCCTCATCAGCACCGCATCCTCATCAGCACCGCATCAGCATCAGCACCGCATCAGCATCCGGACCGCATCAGAACCGCATCCGCATCAGCACCGGATCCGCATCCGATCGGATCCGCATCCGATCAGAACCGCATCAGCACCGGATCCGCATCAGCATCGGATCCGCATCAGGATCGGATCCGCATCGGGACCGGATCGGCATCGGATCCGCATCAGCACCGCATCAGCACCGCGTCCTCATCAGCACAGCATCCTCATCAGCAGTGCATCAGCACTGCGTCCTCATCAGCACCGCGTCCTCATCAGCACCGCGTCCTCATCAGCACCGCATCAGCACCCTGTCCTCATCAGCACCGCGTCCTCATCAGCACCGCGTCCTCATCAGCACCGCGTCCGCATCAGCACCGCGTCCTCATCAGCACCGCATCCTCATCAGCACCGCATCCTCATCAGCACCGCATCAGCACCGCGTCCTCATCAGCACCGCGTCCTCATCAGCACCGCATCCTCATCAGCACCGCATCCTCATCAGCACCGCATCCTCATCAGCACCGCATCAGCATCGCATCAGCACCGCGTCCTCATCAGCACCGCGTCCTCATCAGCACCGCGTCCTCATCAGCACCGCGTCCTCATCAGCACCGCGTCCTCATCAGCACCGCATCAGCACCGCGTCCTCATCAGCACCGCATCCTCATCAGCACTGCATCAGCACTGCGTCCTCATCAGCACCGCGTCCTCATCAGCACCGCGTCCTCATCAGCACCGCGTCCTCATCAGCACCGCATCCTCATCAGCACCGCGTCCTCATCAGCACCGCGTCCTCATCAGCACCGCGTCCTCATCAGCACCGCATCAGCACCGCGTCCTCATCAGCACCGCATCAGCACCGGATCCTCATCAGCACCGCACCGCTTCAGCACCGCATCCTCATCAGCACCGCATCCTCATCAGCACCGCATCAGCATCGCGTCCGCATCAGCACCGGAGACCTCATCAGCACCGATCAGCACCGCGACCTCATCAGCACCGCGTCCTCATCAGCACCGCATCCTCATCAGCACCGCATCCTCATCAGCACCGCATCCTCATCAGCACCGCATCAGCATCGCATCAGCACCGCGTCCTCATCAGACACCGGGTCCTCATCAGCACCGGGTCCTCATCAGCACCGGGTCCTCATCAGAACGGGTCCTCATCAGAACCGCATCAGCACCGGGTCCTCATCAGAACCGCATCCTCATCAGAACGGCATCAGCATTGGGTCCGCATCAGAACCGCGTCTTCATCAGCCCCGCGTCCTCATCAGCACCGCATCAGCACCGCGTCCTCATCAGCACCGCATCAGCACCGCGTCCTCATCAGCACCGCGTCCTCATCAGCACCGCGTCCTCATCAGCACCGCATCAGCACCGCGTCCTCATCAGCACTGCGTCCTCATCAGCACCGCGTCCTCATCAGCACCGCGTCCTCATCAGCACCGCATCCTCATCAGCACCGCATCCTCATCAGCACCGCATCCTCATCAGCACCGCATCAGCACCGCATCAGCACCGCATCCTCATCAGCACCGCATCCTCATCAGCACCGCATCAGCACCGCATCAGCACCGCATCCTCATCAGCACCGCATCCTCATCAGCACCGCATCAGCACCGCGTCCTCATCAGCACCGCATCAGCACCGCATCAGCACCGCATCCTCATCAGCACCGCATCCTCATCAGCACCGCATCAGCACCGCATCAGCACCGCATCCTCATCAGCACCGCATCCTCATCAGCACCGCATCAGCACCGCGTCCTCATCAGCACCGCATCCTCATCAGCACCGCAACCTCATCAGCACCGCATCCTCATCAGCACCGCATCCTCATCAGCACCGCATCAGCATCGCATCAGCGCCGCGTCCTCATCAGCACCGCGTCCTCATCAGCACCGCGGTCCTCATCAGCACCGCGTCATCATCAGCACCGCATCAGCACCCGCGCCCTCATCAGCATCGCATCCTCATCAGCACCGCATCAGCACCGCGTCCTCATCAGCACCGCGTCCTCATCAGCACCGCGTCCTCATCAGCACCGCGTCCTCATCAGCACCGCATCAGCACCGCGTCCTCATCAGCACCGCATCCTCATCAGCACCGCATCAGCACCGCGTCCTCATCAGCACCGCGTCCTCATCAGCACCGCGTCCTCATCAGCACCGCATCCTCATCAGCACCGCGTCCTCATCAGCACCGCATCCTCATCAGCACCGCGTCCTCATCAGCACCGCGTCCTCATCAGCACCGCGTCCTCATCAGCACCGCATCAGCACCGCGTCCTCATCAGCACCGCATCAGCACCGCATCCTCATCAGCACCGCATCCTCATCAGCACCGCATCAGCACCGCGTCCTCATCAGCACCGCGTCCTCATCAGCACCGCATCCTCATCAGCACCGCATCCTCATCAGCACCGCATCCTCATCAGCACCGCATCAGCACCCTGTCCTCATCAGCACCGCGTCCTCATCAGCACCGCATCCTCATCAGCACCGCGTCCGCATCAGCACCGCGTCCTCATCAGCACCGCGTCCTCATCAGCACCGCATCCTCATCAGCACCGCATCAGCACCGCGTCCCTCATCAGCACCGCGTCCTCATCAGCACCGCGTCCTCATCAGCACCGCGTCCTCATCAGAACCGCATCCTCATCAGCACCGCGTCCTCTTCGGCACCGCGTCCTCATCAGCACCGCATCCTCATCAGCACCGGCATCCGCATCAGCACCGCGTCCGCATCAGCACCGCATCCTCATCAGCACCGCATCCGCATCAGCACCGCGTCCGCATCAGCACCGCATCCTCATCAGCACCGCATCCTCATCAGCACCGCATCCTCATCAGCACCGCGTCCTCATCAGCACCGCGTCCGCATCAGCACCGCATCCTCATCAGCACCGCATCCGCATCAGCACCGCGTCCGCATCAGCACCGCGTCCTCATCAGCACCGCATCCGCATCAGCACCGCGTCCGCATCAGCACCGCATCCTCATCAGCACCGCATCCTCATCAGCACCGCGTCCTCATCAGCACCGCGTCCTCATCAGCACCGCATCCGCATCAGCACCGCGTCCGCATCAGCACCGCGTCCTCATCAGCACCGCATCCGCATCAGCACCGCATCCGCATCAGCACCGCATCCTCATCAGCACCGCATCCTCATCAGCACCGCGTCCTCATCAGCACCGCGTCCTCATCAGCACCGCATCCGCATCAGCACCGCATCCGCATCAGCACCGCATCCTCATCAGCACCGCATCCTCATCAGCACCGCATCCTCATCAGCACCGCGTCCTCATCAGCACCGCGTCCTCATCAGCACCGCGTCCGCGTCAGAACCGCGTCCTCATCAGCACCGCATCCTCATCAGCACCGCATCCTCATCAGCACCGCATCCTCATCAGCACCGCATCCTCATCAGCACCGCGTCCTCATCATGACCGCGTCCTCATCAGCACCGCATCCGCATCAGCACAGGATCATCATCTACACCGTGTCCTCATCAGGACCGAGTCCTCATGAGCACCGCATCCTCATCAGCACCGCGTCCTCATCAGAACCGCATCCTCATCAGCACCGCATCCGCATCAGCAACGCATCCTCATCAGCACCGCGTCCGCATCAGCACCGCGTCCTCATCAGACCGCATCCGATCGCATCCTCATCAGCACCGCATCCTCATCAGCACCGCATCCTCATCAGCACCGCGTCCTCATCAGCACCGCGTCCTCATCAGCACCGCATCCTCATCAGCACCGCATCCTCATCAGCACCGCATCCTCATCAGCACCGCATCCTCATCAGCACCGCATCAGCACCCTGTCCTCATCAGCACCGCGTCCTCATCAGCACCGCATCCTCATCAGCACCGCGTCCGCATCAGCACCGCGTCCTCATCAGCACCGCATCCTCATCAGCACCGCATCCTCATCAGCACCGCATCCTCATCAGCACCGCATCCTCATCAGCACCGCATCAGCACCCCGGTCCTCATCAGCACCGCGTCCGCATCAGCACCGAATCCTCATCAGCACCGGAATCCCTCATCAGCACCGCATCCTCATCAGCACCGCATCAGCACCGCGTCCTCATCAGCACCGCGTCCTCATCAGCACCGCATCCTCATCAGCACCGCATCCTCATCAGCACCGCATCCTCATCAGCACCGCATCAGCACCCTGTCCTCATCAGCACCGCGTCCTCATCAGCACCGCATCCTCATCAGCACCGCGTCCGCATCAGCACCGCGTCCTCATCAGCACCGCGTCCTCATCAGCACCGCGTCCTCATCAGCACCGCATCAGCACCGCGTCCTCATCAGCACCGCATCAGCACCGCATCCTCATCAGCACCGCATCCTCATCAGCACCGCATCAGCACCGCGTCCTCATCAGCACCGCGTCCTCATCAGCACCGCATCCTCATCAGCACCGCGTCCTCATCAGCACCGCATCAGCACCGCATCCTCATCAGCACCGCATCCTCATCAGCACCGCATCAGCACCGCGTCCTCATCAGCACCGCGTCCTCATCAGCACCGCATCCTCATCAGCACCGCATCCTCATCAGCACCGCATCCTCATCAGCACCGCATCCTCATCAGCACCGCATCAGCACCGCGTCCTCATCAGCACCGCGTCCTCATCAGCACCGCGTCCTCATCAGCACCGCATCCTCATCAGCACCGCATCCTCATCAGCACCGCATCCTCATCAGCACCGCATCAGCACCCTGTCCTCATCAGCACCGCGTCCTCATCAGCACCGCATCCTCATCAGCACCGCGTCCGCATCAGCACCGCGTCCTCATCAGCACCGCATCCTCATCAGCACCGCATCCTCATCAGCACCGCATCAGCACCGCGTCCTCATCAGCACCGCATCCGCATCAGCACCGCATCCTCATCAGCACCGCATCCTCATCAGCACCGCATCAGCACCGCGTCCTCATCAGCACCGCGTCCTCATCAGCACCGCATCCTCATCAGCACCGCGTCCTCATCAGCACCGCATCCGCATCGGATCCTCATCAGCACCGGATCCTCATCAGCACCGCATCAGCACCGCGTCCTCATCAGCACCGCGTCCTCATCAGCACCGCGTCCTCATCAGCACCGCATCCTCATCAGCACCGCATTCTCATCAGCACCCCTGTCCTCATCAGCACCGGGTCCTCATCAGCACCCTGTCCTCATCAGCACCGTGTCCTCATCAGCACCCTGTCCTCATCAGCACCGCGTCCTCATCAGCACCGCGTCCTCATCAGCACCGCGTCCTCATCAGCACCGCATCAGCACCGCGTCCTCATCAGCACCGCATCAGCACCGCGTCCTCATCAGCACCGCGTCCTCATCAGCACCGCGTCCTCATCAGGACCGCGTCCACATCAGCACCGCATCAGCACCGCGTCCTCATCAGCACCCTGTCCTCATCAGCACCGCGTCCTCATCAGCACCGCGTCCTCATCAGCACCGCATCCTCATCAGCACCGCATCAGCACCGCGTCCTCATCAGCACCGCATCAGCACCGCGTCCTCATCAGCACCGCGTCCTCATCAGCACCGCGTCCTCATCAGCACCGCGTCCTCATCGGCACCGCGTCCTCATCGGCACCCTGTCCTCATCGGCACCGCGTCCTCATCGGCACCCTGTCCTCATCGGCACCGCGTCCTCATCGGCACCCTGTCCTCATCAGCACCGTGTCCTCATCAGCACCCTGTCCTCATCAGCACCGCGTCATCAGCACCGCGTCCTCATCAGCACCGCGTCCTCATCAGCACCGCATCAGCACCGCGTCCTCATCAGCACCGCATCAGCACCGCGTCCTCATCAGCACCGCGTCCTCATCAGCACCGCGTCCTCATCAGCACCGCGTCCTCATCAGCACCGCATCAGCACCGCGACCTCATCAGCACCCTGTCCTCATCAGCACCGCGTCCTCATCAGCACCGCATCAAAGCAACAACACATCCTCATCAGCACCGCATCCTCATCAGCACCGCATCAGCACCCCGTCCTCATCAGCACCGCGTCCTCATCAGCACCGCATCCTCTTCGGCACCGCGTCCGCATCAGCACCGCGTCCTCATCAGCACCGCATCCTCATCAGCACCGCATCAGCACCGCATCAACAACGCATCCTCATCAGCACCGCATCCTCATCAGCACCGCATCAGCACCGAGACCTCATCAGCACCGCGTCCTCATCAGCACCGCATCCTCATCAGCACCGCATCCTCATCAGCACCGCATCCTCATCAGCACCGCATCCTCATCAGCACCGCATCAGCATCGCATCAGCACCGCGTCCTCATCAGCAAGGCGTCCTCATCAGCACCGCGTCCTCATCAGCACCGCGTCCTCATCAGCACCGCGTCCTCATCAGCACCGCATCAGCACCGCGTCCTCATCAGCACCGCATCCTCATCAGCACTGCATCAGCACTGCGTCCTCATCAGCACCGCGTCCTCATCAGCACCGCGTCCTCATCAGCACCGCATCCTCATCAGCACCGCATCCTCATCAGCACCGCATCCTCATCAGCACCGCATCAGCACCCTGTCCTCATCAGCACCGCGTCCTCATCAGCACCGCATCCTCATCAGCACCGCGTCCGCATCAGCACCGCGTCCTCATCAGCACCGCGTCCTCATCAGCACCGCATCCTCATCAGCACCGCATCAGCACCGCGTCCTCATCAGCACCGCGTCCTCATCAGCACCGCATCCTCATCAGCACCGCATCCTCATCAGCACCGCATCCTCATCAGCACCGCGTCCTCATCAGCACCGCGTCCTCATCAGCACCGCGTCCTCATCAGCACCGCGTCCTCATCAGCACCGCGTCCTCATCAGCACCGCATCAGCACCGCGTCCTCATCAGCACCGCATCAGCACCGCATCCTCATCAGCACCGCATCCTCATCAGCACCGCATCAGCACCGCGTCCTCATCAGCACCGCGTCCTCATCAGCACCGCGTCCTCATCAGCACCGCATCCTCATCAGCACCGCATCCTCATCAGCACCGCATCCTCATCAGCACCGCATCAGCACCCTGTCCTCATCAGCACCGCGTCCTCATCAGCACCGCATCCTCATCAGCACCGCGTCCGCATCAGCACCGCGTCCTCATCAGCACCGCATCCTCATCAGCACCGCATCCTCATCAGCACCGCATCAGCACCGCGTCCTCATCAGCACCGCGTCCTCATCAGCACCGCATCCTCATCAGCACCGCATCCTCATCAGCACCGCATCCTCATCAGCACCGCATCCTCATCAGCACCGGCATCAGCACCCTGTCCTCATCAGCACCGGGTCCTCATCAGCACCGGATCCTCATCAGCATCGCGACCGCATCAGCATCGGGTCCTCATCAGCACGGCATCCTCATCAGCATCGCATCCTCATCAGCCCCGTATCCTCATCAGCACCGCATCCGCATCAGCATCGCATCCGCATCAGCACCGCATCCGCATCAGCACCGCATCCTCATCAGCACCGCATCCTCATCAGCACCGCGTCCTCATCAGCACCGCGTCCGCATCAGCACCGCATCCTCATCAGCACCGCATCCGCATCAGCACCGCGTCCGCATCAGCACCGCATCCTCATCAGCACCGCATCCGCATCAGCACCGCATCCTCATCAGCACCGCGTCCTCATCAGCACCGCATCCTCATCAGCACCGCGTCCTCATCAGCACCGCGTCCTCATCAGCACCGCATCCTCATCAGCACCGCGTCCTCATCAGCACCGCATCCTCATCAGCACCGCATCCTCATCAGCACCGCATCCTCATCAGCACCGCATCCTCATCAGCACCGCATCCTCATCAGCACCGCGTCCTCATCAGAACCGCGTCAGCATCAGGACCGCGTCAGCATCGGATCCGCATCAGCATCGGATCCGCATCAGCATCGCATCCGCATCAGCACCGCATCCTCATCATGACCGCATCAGCACCGCGTCCTCATCAGCACCGCATCCTCATCAGCACCGCGTCCGCATCAGGACCGCGTCAGCATCGGAACCGCATCAGCATCGGGTCCGCATCAGCATCGGGTCCGCATCAGCACCGGGTCCTCATCAGCACGATAAATCAGCACCGCATCCTCATCAGCACCGCATCCTCATCAGCACCGAACCTCATCAGCACCGCATCAGCATCGCATCAGCACCGCGTCCTCAGCACCGCGTCCTCATCAGCACCGCGTCCTCATCAGCACCGCGTCCTCATCAGCACCGCGTCCTCATCAGCACCGCATCAGCACCGCGTCCTCATCAGCACCGCATCCTCATCAGCACTGCATCAGCACCGCGTCCTCATCAGCACCGCGTCCTCATCAGCACCGCGTCCTCATCAGCACCGCGTCCTCATCAGCACCGCATCAGCACCGCGTCCTCATCAGCACCGCATCCTCATCAGCACCGCATCAGCACCGCGTCCTCATCAGCACCGCGTCCTCATCAGCACCGCGTCCTCATCAGCACCGCATCCTCATCAGCACCGCATCAGCACCGCATCCTCATCAGCACCGCGTCCTCATCAGCACCGCGTCCTCATCAGCACCGCGTCCTCATCAGCACCGCGTCCTCATCAGCACCGCATCAGCACCGCGTCCTCATCAGCACCGCATCAGCACCGCATCCTCATCAGCACCGCATCCTCATCAGCACCGCATCAGCACCGCGTCCTCATCAGCACCGCGTCCTCATCAGCACCGCATCCTCATCAGCACCGCATCCTCATCAGCACCGCATCCTCATCAGCACCGCATCCTCATCAGCACCGCATCAGCACCCTGTCCTCATCAGCACCGCGTCCTCATCAGCACCGCATCCTCATCAGCACCGCGTCCGCATCAGCACCGCATCCTCATCAGCACCGCATCCTCATCAGGCCGCATCCTCATCAGCACCGCATCCTCATCAGCACCGCGTCCTCATCAGCACCGCGTCCTCATCAGCACCGCATCCGCATCAGCACCGCATCCTCATCAGCACCGCATCCTCATCAGCACCGCATCCTCATCAGCACCGCATCCTCATCAGCACCGCATCCTCATCAGCACCGCGTCCTCATCAGCACCGCGTCCTCATCAGCACCGCATCCGCATCAGCACCGCATCCTCATCAGCACCGCATCCTCATCTGCGCCGCGTCCTCATCAGCACCGCATCCTCATCAGTTTCTCTCCTCATCAGCACCGCGTCCTCATCAGCACGCGCATCCTCATCAGCACCGAGTCCTCATCAGCACCGCGTCCTCATCAGCACCGCATCCTCATCAGCACCGCATCCGCATCAGCACCGCGTCCGCATCAGCACCGCATCCTCATCAGCACCGCATCCGCATCAGCACCGCGTCCGCATCAGCACCGCATCCTCATCAGCACCGCATCCTCATCAGCACCGCATCCTCATCAGCACCGCGTCCTCATCAGCACCGCGTCCGCATCAGCACCGCATCCTCATCAGCACCGCATCCGCATCAGCACCGCGTCCGCATCAGCACCGCGTCCTCATCAGCACCGCATCCGCATCAGCACCGCGTCCGCATCAGCACCGCATCCTCATCAGCACCGCATCCTCATCAGCACCGCGTCCTCATCAGCACCGCGTCCTCATCAGCACCGCATCCGCATCAGCACCGCGTCCGCATCAGCACCGCGTCCTCATCAGCACCGCATCCGCATCAGCACCGCGTCCTCATCAGCACCGCGTCCTCATCAGCACCGCATCCTCATCAGCACCGCGTCCTCATCAGCACCGCGTCCTCATCAGCACCGCATCCTCATCAGCACCGCATCCGCATCAGCACCGCGTCCGCATCAGCACCGCATCCTCATCAGCACCGCATCCGCATCAGCACCGCGTCCGCATCAGCACCGCATCCTCATCAGCACCGCATCCTCATCAGCACCGCATCCTCATCAGCACCGCGTCCTCATCAGCACCGCGTCCGCATCAGCACCGCATCCTCATCAGCACCGCATCCGCATCAGCACCGCGTCCGCATCAGCACCGCATCCTCATCAGCACCGCATCCTCATCAGCACCGCATCCTCATCAGCACCGCGTCCTCATCAGCACCGCATCCTCATCAGCACCGCGTCCTCATCAGCACCGCATCCTCATCAGCACCGCATCCTCATCAGCACCGCATCCTCATCAGCACCGCATCCTCATCAGCACCGCATCCTCATCAGCACCGCGTCCTCATCAGCACCGCATCCTCATCAGAACCGCATCCTCATCAGCACCGCATCCGCATCAGCACCGCGTCCTCATCAGCACCGCGTCCTCATCAGCACCGCATCCGCATCAGCACCGCATCCTCATCAGCACCGCATCCTCATCAGCACCGCATCCTCATCAGCACCGCATCAGCATCGCATCAGCACCGCGTCCTCATCAGCACCGCGTCCTCATCAGCACCGCGTCCTCATCAGCACCGCGTCCTCATCAGCACCGCGTCCTCATCAGCACCGCATCAGCACCGCGTCCTCATCAGCACCGCATCCTCATCAGCACTGCATCAGCACTGCGTCCTCATCAGCACCGCGTCCTCATCAGCACCGCGTCCTCATCAGCACCGCGTCCTCATCAGCACCGCATCAGCACCGCGTCCTCATCAGCACCGCGTCCTCATCAGCACCGCATCAGCACCGCGTCCTCATCAGCACCGCGTCCTCATCAGCACCGCGTCCTCATCAGCACCGCGTCCTCATCAGCACCGCGTCCTCATCAGCACCGCGTCCTCATCAGCACCGCATCAGCACCGCGTCCTCATCAGCACCGCATCAGCACCGCATCCTCATCAGCACCGCATCCTCATCAGCACCGCATCAGCACCGCGTCCTCATCAGCACCGCGTCCTCATCAGCACCGCATCCTCATCAGCACCGCATCCTCATCAGCACCGCATCCTCATCAGCACCGCATCAGCACCCTGTCCTCATCAGCACCGCGTCCTCATCAGCACCGCGTCCTCATCAGCACCGCGTCCGCATCAGCACCGCGTCCTCATCAGCACCGCATCCTCATCAGCACCGCATCCTCATCAGCACCGCATCAGCACCGCGTCCTCATCAGCACCGCGTCCTCATCAGCACCGCATCCTCATCAGCACCGCATCCTCATCAGCACCGCATCCTCATCAGCACCGCATCAGCACCCTGTCCTCATCAGCACCGCGTCCTCATCAGCACCGCATCCTCATCAGCACCGCGTCCGCATCAGCACCGCGTCCTCATCAGCACCGAGGTCCTCATCAGCAACGCGTCCTCATCAGCAACGAGTCCTCATCAGCACCGCATCAGCACCGCGTCCTCATCAGCACCCTGTCCTCATCAGCACCGCGTCCTCATCAGCACCGCGTCCTCATCAGCACCGCATCAGCACCGCGTCCTCATCAGCACCGCGTCCTCATCAGCACCCTGTCCTCATCAGCACCGCGTCCTCATCGGCACCGCGTCCTCATCAGCACCCTGTCCTCATCGGCACCGCGTCCTCATCGGCACCCTGTCCTCATCAGCACCGCGTCCTCATCAGCACCCTGTCCTCATCAGCACCGTGTCCTCATCAGCACCCTGTCCTCATCAGCACCGCGTCCTCATCAGCACCGCGTCCTCATCAGCACCGCGTCCTCATCAGCACCGCATCAGCACCGCGTCCTCATCAGCACCGCGTCCTCATCAGCACCGCGTCCTCATCAGCACCGCGTCCTCATCGGCACCGCGTCCTCATCAGCACCCTGTCCTCATCGGCACCGCGTCCTCATCAGCACCCTGTCCTCATCGGCACCGCGTCCTCATCAGCACCCTGTCCTCATCAGCACCGCGTCCTCATCAGCACCCTGTCCTCATCAGCACCGCGTCCTCATCAGCACCGCATCAGCACCGCGTCCTCATCAGCACCGCATCAGCACCGCGTCCTCATCAGCACCGCGTCCTCATCAGCACCGCGTCCTCATCAGCACCGCGTCCTCATCAGCACCGCGTCCTCATCGGCACCGCGTCCTCATCAGCACCACGTCCTCATCAGCACCCTGTCCTCATCAGCACCGCATCAGCACCGCGTCCTCATCAGCACCCTGTCCTCATCAGCACCGCGTCCTCATCAGCACCGCGTCCTCATCAGCACCGCATCAGCACCGCGTCCTCATCAGCACCGCGTCCTCATCAGCACCCTGTCCTCATCAGCACCGCGTCCTCATCGGCACCGCGTCCTCATCGGCACCCTGTCCTCATCGGCACCGCGTCCTCATCAGCACCCTGTCCTCATCGGCACCGCGTCCTCATCAGCACCCTGTCCTCATCGGCACCGCGTCCTCATCAGCACCCTGTCCTCATCAGCACCGCGTCCTCATCAGCACCGCGTCCTCATCAGCACCGCGTCCTCATCAGCACCCTGTCCTCATCAGCACCGCATCAGCACCGCGTCCTCATCAGCACCCTGTCCTCATCAGCACCGCGTCCTCATCAGCACCGCGTCCTCATCAGCACCGCATCAGCACCGCGTCCTCATCAGCACCGCGTCCTCATCAGCACCCTGTCCTCATCAGCACCGCGTCCTCATCGGGACCGCGTCCTCATCAGCACCGTGTCCTCATCGTCCTCATCAGCACCGCGTCCTCATCAGCACCGCATCAGCACCCGCGTCCTCATCAGCACCGCGTCCTCATCAGCACCGCATCAGCACCGCGTCCTCATCAGCACCGCGTCCTCATCAGCACCGCGTCCTCATCAGCACCGCGTCCTCATCAGCACCGCGTCCTCATCAGCACCGCGTCCTCATCAGCACCGCATCAGCACCGCGTCCTCATCAGCACCGCATCAGCACCGCATCCTCATCAGCACCGCATCCTCATCAGCACCGCATCAGCACCGCGTCCTCATCAGCACCGCGTCCTCATCAGCACCGCGTCCTCATCAGCACCGCATCCTCATCAGCACCGCATCCTCATCAGCACCGCATCCTCATCAGCACCGCATCAGCACCCTGTCCTCATCAGCACCGCGTCCTCATCAGCACCGCATCCTCATCAGCACCGCGTCCGCATCAGCACCGCGTCCTCATCAGCACCGCGTCCTCATCAGCACCGCATCCTCATCAGCACCGCATCAGCACCGCGTCCTCATCAGCACCGCGTCCTCATCAGCACCGCATCCTCATCAGCACCGCATCCTCATCAGCACCGCATCCTCATCAGCACCGCATCCTCATCAGCACCGCATCAGCACCCTGTCCTCATCAGCACCGCGTCCTCATCAGCACCGCGTCCTCATCAGCACCGCGTCCGCATCAGCACCGCGTCCTCATCAGCACCGCGTCCTCATCAGCACCGCGTCCTCATCAGCACCGCATCAGCACCGCGTCCTCATCAGCACCGCATCAGCACCGCATCCTCATCAGCACCGCATCCTCATCAGCACCGCATCAGCACCGCGTCCTCATCAGCACCGCGTCCTCATCAGCACCGCATCCTCATCAGCACCGCATCCTCATCAGCACCGCATCCTCATCAGCACCGCATCCTCATCAGCACCGCATCAGCACCCTGTCCTCATCAGCACCGCGTCCTCATCAGCACCGCATCCTCATCAGCACCGCGTCCGCATCAGCACCGCGTCCTCATCAGCACCGCATCCTCATCAGCACCGCATCCTCATCAGCACCGCATCAGCACCGCGTCCTCATCAGCACCGCGTCCTCATCAGCACCGCATCCTCATCAGCACCGCATCCTCATCAGCACCGCATCCTCATCAGCACCGCATCAGCACCCTGTCCTCATCAGCACCGCGTCCTCATCAGCACCGCGTCCTCATCAGCACCGCGTCCGCATCAGCACCGCGTCCTCATCAGCACCGCGTCCTCATCAGCACCGCGTCCTCATCAGCACCGCATCAGCACCGCGTCCTCATCAGCACCGCATCAGCACCGCATCCTCATCAGCACCGCATCCTCATCAGCACCGCATCAGCACCGCGTCCTCATCAGCACCGCGTCCTCATCAGCACCGCATCCTCATCAGCACCGCATCCTCATCAGCACCGCATCCTCATCAGCACCGCATCAGCACCCTGTCCTCATCAGCACCGCGTCCTCATCAGCACCGCGTCCTCATCAGCACCGCGTCCGCATCAGCACCGCGTCCTCATCAGCACCGCATCCTCATCAGCACCGCATCCTCATCAGCACCGCATCAGCACCGCGTCCTCATCAGCACCGCGTCCTCATCAGCACCGCATCCTCATCAGCACCGCATCCTCATCAGCACCGCATCCTCATCAGCACCGCATCAGCATCGCATCAGCACCGCGTCCTCATCAGCACCGCGTCCTCATCAGCACCGCGTCCTCATCAGCACCGCGTCCTCATCAGCACCGCGTCCTCATCAGCACCGCATCAGCACCGCGTCCTCATCAGCACCGCATCAGCACCGCGTCCTCATCAGCACCGCGTCCTCATCAGCACCGCGTCCTCATCAGCACCGCGTCCTCATCAGCACCGCATCAGCACCGCGTCCTCATCAGCACCGCATCAGCACCGCGTCCTCATCAGCACCGCGTCCTCATCAGCACCGCGTCCTCATCAGCACCGCATCAGCACCGCGTCCTCATCAGCACTGCGTCCTCATCAGCACCGCGTCCTCATCAGCACCGCGTCCTCATCAGCACCGCATCCTCATCAGCACCGCATCCTCATCAGCACCGCGTCCGCATCCTCATCGGCACCTCATCAGCACCGCGTCCTCATCAGCACCGCATCCTCATCAGCACCGCATCAGCACCGCGTCCTCATCAGCACCGCGTCCTCATCAGCACCGCGTCCTCATCAGCACCGCATCCTCATCAGCACCGCATCCTCATCAGCACCGCATCCTCATCAGCACCGCATCAGCACCCTGTCCTCATCAGCACCGCGTCCTCATCAGCACCGCATCCTCATCAGCACCGCGTCCGCATCAGCACCGCGTCCTCATCAGCACCGCATCCTCATCAGCACCGCATCAGCACCGCATCAGCACCGCATCCTCATCAGCACCGCATCCTCATCAGCACCGCATCAGCACCGCGTCCTCATCAGCACCGCGTCCTCATCAGCACCGCATCCTCATCAGCACCGCATCCTCATCAGCACCGCATCCTCATCAGCACCGCATCCTCATCAGCACCGCATCAGCATCGCATCAGCACCGCGTCCTCATCAGCACCGCGTCCTCATCAGCACCGCGTCCTCATCAGCACCGCGTCCTCATCAGCACCGCGTCCTCATCAGCACCGCATCAGCACCGCGTCCTCCATCAGCACCGCATCCTCATCAGCACTGCATCAGCACTGCGTCCTCATCAGCACCGCGTCCTCATCAGCACCGGGTCCTCATCAGAACCGCGTCATCATCAGCACCGCATCAGCACCGTGTCCTCATCAGCAACGGGTCCTCATCAGCACCGCATCATCATCAGCATCGCATCCTCATCAGCACCGCATCAGCATCAGCACCGCATCCTAGCACCGCGTCAGCATCAGCACCGCGTCCTCATCAGCACCGCATCAGCATCAGAACCGTGTCCGCATCAGCACCGCGTCAGCATCAGCACCGCATCCTCATCAGCACCGCATCCGCATCAGCACCGCATCCTCATCAGCACCGCGTCCGCATCGTCACCGCATCCTCATCAGCACCGCGTCCTATGGTTTCCCTCCTCATCAGCACCGCATCCTCATCAGCACCGCGTCCTCATCAGCACCGCATCCTCATCAGCACCGCATCAGCACCCTGTCCTCATCAGCACCGCGTCCTCATCAGCACCGCATCCTCATCAGCACCGCGTCCGCATCAGCACCGCGTCCTCATCAGCACCGCGTCCTCATCAGCACCGCATCCTCATCAGCACCGCATCAGCACCGCGTCCTCATCAGCACCGCGTCCTCATCAGCACCGCATCCTCATCAGCACCGCATCCTCATCAGCACCGCATCCTCATCAGCACCGCATCCTCATCAGCACCGCATCAGCACCCTGTCCTCATCAGCACCGCGTCCTCATCAGCACCGCGTCCTCATCAGCACCGCGTCCGCATCAGCACCGCGTCCTCATCAGCACCGCGTCCTCATCAGCACCGCGTCCTCATCAGCACCGCATCAGCACCGCGTCCTCATCAGCACCGCATCAGCACCGCATCCTCATCAGCACCGCATCCTCATCAGCACCGCATCAGCACCGCGTCCTCATCAGCACCGCGTCCTCATCAGCACCGCATCCTCATCAGCACCGCATCCTCATCAGCACCGCATCCTCATCAGCACCGCATCAGCACCCTGTCCTCATCAGCACCGCGTCCTCATCAGCACCGCATCCTCATCAGCACCGCGTCCGCATCAGCACCGCGTCCTCATCAGCACCGCGTCCTCATCAGCACCGCATCCTCATCAGCACCGCATCAGCACCGCGTCCTCATCAGCACCGCGTCCTCATCAGCACCGCGTCCTCATCAGCACCGCATCCTCATCAGCACCGCATCCTCATCAGCACCGCATCCTCATCAGCACCGCATCAGCACCCTGTCCTCATCAGCACCGCGTCCTCATCAGCACCGCATCCTCATCAGCACCGCGTCCGCATCAGCACCGCGTCCTCATCAGCACCGCATCCTCATCAGCACCGCATCAGCACCGCATCAGCACCGCATCCTCATCAGCACCGCATCCTCATCAGCACCGCGTCCTCATCAGCACCGCGTCCTCATCAGCACCGCATCCTCATCAGCACCGCATCCTCATCAGGACCGCATCCTCATCAGCACCGCATCCTCATCAGCACCGCATCCTCATCAGCACCGCATCCTCATCAGCACCGCATCAGCACCCCGTCCTCATCAGCACCGCGTCCTCATCAGCACCGCATCCTCATCAGCACCGCATCCTCATCAGCACCGCGTCCTCATCAGCACCGCATCCTCATCAGCACCGCATCCGCATCAGCACCGCGTCCGCATCAGCACCGCATCCTCATCAGCACCGCATCCTCATCAGCACCGCATCCTCATCAGCACCGCGTCCTCATCAGCACCGCGTCCGCATCAGCACCGCATCCTCATCAGCACCGCATCCGCATCAGCACCGCGTCCGCATCAGCACCGCGTCCTCATCAGCACCGCATCCGCATCAGCACCGCGTCCGCATCAGCACCGCATCCTCATCAGCACCGCATCCTCATCAGCACCGCGTCCTCATCAGCACCGCGTCCTCATCAGCACCGCATCCGCATCAGCACCGCGTCCGCATCAGCACCGCGTCCTCATCAGCACCGCATCCGCATCAGCACCGCGTCCTCATCAGCACCGCGTCCTCATCAGCACCGCATCCTCATCAGCACCGCGTCCTCATCAGCACCGCGTCCTCATCAGCACCGCATCCTCATCAGCACCGCATCCGCATCAGCACCGCGTCCGCATCAGCACCGCATCCTCATCAGCACCGCATCCGCATCAGCACCGCGTCCTCATCAGCACCGCATCCTCATCAGCACCGCATCCTCATCAGCACCGCATCCTCATCAGCACCGCGTCCTCATCAGCACCGCATCCTCATCAGCACCGCATCCTCATCAGCACCGCATCCGCATCAGCACCGCGTCCGCATCAGCACCGCATCCTCATCAGCACCGCATCCGCATCAGCACCGCATCCTCATCAGCACCGCATCCTCATCAGCACCGCATCCTCATCAGCACCGCATCCTCATCAGCACCGCATCCGCATCAGCACCGCGTCCGCATCAGCACCGCATCCTCATCAGCACCGCATCCTCATCAGCACCGCATCCTCATCAGCACCGCGTCCTCATCAGCACCGCGTCCGCATCAGCACCGCATCCTCATCAGCACCGCATCCGCATCAGCACCGCGTCCGCATCAGCACCGCGTCCTCATCAGCACCGCATCCGCATCAGCACCGCGTCCGCATCAGCACCGCATCCTCATCAGCACCGCGTCCTCATCAGCACCGCGTCCTCATCAGCACCGCGTCCTCATCAGCACCGCATCCGCATCAGCACGCGTCCGCATCAGCACCGCATCCTCATCAGCACCGCATCCGCATCAGCACCGCATCCTCATCAGCACCGCGTCCTCATCAGCACCGCATCCTCATCAGCACCGCGTCCTCATCAGCACCGCGTCCTCATCAGCACCGCATCCTCATCAGCACCGCGTCCTCATCAGCACCGCGTCCTCATCAGCACCGCATCCGCATCAGCACCGCATCCTCATCAGCACCGCATCCTCATCAGCACCGCATCCTCATCAGCACCGCATCCTCATCAGCACCGCGTCCTCATCAGCACCGCGTCCTCATCAGCACCGCATCCGCATCAGCACCGCGTCCGCATCAGCACCGCATCCTCATCAGCACCGCATCCTCATCAGCACCGCGTCCTCATCAGCACCGCGTCCTCATCAGCACCGCATCCGCATCAGCACCGCGTCCGCATCAGCACCGCATCCTCATCAGCACCGCATCCGCATCAGCACCGCGTCCTCATCAGCACCGCGTCCTCATCAGCACCGCATCCTCATCAGCACCGCGTCCTCATCAGCACCGCGTCCTCATCAGCACCGCATCCTCATCAGCACCGCATCCGCATCAGCACCGCGTCCGCATCAGCACCGCATCCTCATCAGCACCGCATCCGCATCAGCACCGCATCCTCATCAGCACCGCGTCCTCATCAGCACCGCATCCTCATCAGCACCGCGTCCTCATCAGCACCGCGTCCTCATCAGCACCGCATCCTCATCAGCACCGCGTCCTCATCAGCACCGCGTCCTCATCAGCACCGCATCCGCATCAGCACCGCATCCTCATCAGCACCGCATCCTCATCAGCACCGCATCCTCATCAGCACCGCATCCTCATCAGCACCGCGTCCTCATCAGCACCGCGTCCTCATCAGCACCGCGTCCTCATCAGCACCGCATCCTCATCAGCACCGCATCCTCATCAGCACCGCATCCTCATCAGCACCGCATCCTCATCAGCACCGCATCCGCATCAGCACCGCGTCCGCATCAGCACCGCATCCTCATCAGCACCGCATCCTCATCAGCACCGCATCCTCATCAGCACCGCGTCCTCATCAGCACCGCGTCCGCATCAGCACCGCATCCTCATCAGCACCGCATCCGCATCAGCACCGCGTCCGCATCAGCACCGCGTCCTCATCAGCACCGCATCCGCATCAGCACCGCGTCCGCATCAGCACCGCATCCTCATCAGCACCGCATCCTCATCAGCACCGCGTCCTCATCAGCACCGCGTCCTCATCAGCACCGCATCCGCATCAGCACCGCGTCCGCATCAGCACCGCGTCCTCATCAGCACCGCATCCGCATCAGCACCGCGTCCTCATCAGCACCGCGTCCTCATCAGCACCGCATCCTCATCAGCACCGCGTCCTTCATCAGCACCGCGTCCTCATCAGCACCGCATCATCATCAGCACCGCATCCGCATCAGCACCGCGTCCGCATCAGCACCGCATCCTCATCAGCACCGCATCCGCATCAGCACCGCGTCCGCATCAGCACCGCATCCTCATCAGCACCGCATCCTCATCAGCACCGCATCCTCATCAGCACCGCGTCCTCATCAGCACCGCGTCCGCATCAGCACCGCATCCTCATCAGCACCGCATCCGCATCAGCACCGCGTCCGCATCAGCACCGCATCCTCATCAGCACCGCATCCGCATCAGCACCGCATCCTCATCAGCACCGCGTCCTCATCAGCACCGCATCCTCATCAGCACCGCGTCCTCATCAGCACCGCGTCCTCATCAGCACCGCATCCTCATCAGCACCGCGTCCTCATCAGCACCGCGTCCTCATCAGCACCGCATCCGCATCAGCACCGCATCCTCATCAGCACCGCATCCTCATCAGCACCGCATCCTCATCAGCACCGCATCCTCATCAGCACCGCGTCCTCATCAGCACCGCGTCCGCATCAGCACCGCATCCTCATCAGCACCGCATCCGCATCAGCACCGCGTCCGCATCAGCACCGCGTCCTCATCAGCACCGCATCCGCATCAGCACCGCGTCCGCATCAGCACCGCATCCTCATCAGCACCGCATCCTCATCAGCACCGCGTCCTCATCAGCACCGCGTCCTCATCAGCACCGCATCCGCATCAGCACCGCGTCCGCATCAGCACCGCGTCCTCATCAGCACCGCATCCGCATCAGCACCGCGTCCTCATCAGCACCGCGTCCTCATCAGCACCGCATCCTCATCAGCACCGCGTCCTCATCAGCACCGCGTCCTCATCAGCACCGCATCCTCATCAGCACCGCATCCGCATCAGCACCGCGTCCGCATCAGCACCGCATCCTCATCAGCACCGCATCCGCATCAGCACCGCGTCCGCATCAGCACCGCATCCTCATCAGCACCGCATCCTCATCAGCACCGCATCCTCATCAGCACCGCGTCCTCATCAGCACCGCGTCCGCATCAGCACCGCATCCTCATCAGCACCGCATCCGCATCAGCACCGCGTCCGCATCAGCACCGCATCCTCATCAGCACCGCATCCGCATCAGCACCGCATCCTCATCAGCACCGCGTCCTCATCAGCACCCGCATCCTCATCAGCACCGCGTCCCTCATCAGCACCGCATCCTCATCAGCACCGGCATCCTCATCAGCAACGGCGTCCCTCATCAGCACCGCGTCCTCATCAGCACCGGCATCCGCATCAGCACCGCATCCTCATCAGCACCGCATCCTCATCAGCACCGCATCCTCATCAGCACCGCATCCGCATCAGCACCGCGTCCGCATCAGCACCGCATCCTCATCAGCACCGCATCCTCATCAGCACCGCATCCTCATCAGCACCGCGTCCTCATCAGCACCGCGTCCGCATCAGCACCGCATCCTCATCAGCACCGCATCCGCATCAGCACCGCGTCCGCATCAGCACCGCGTCCTCATCAGCACCGCATCCGCATCAGCACCGCGTCCGCATCAGCACCGCGTCCTCATCAGCACCGCATCCTCATCAGCACCGCGTCCTCATCAGCACCGCGTCCTCATCAGCACCGCATCCGCATCAGCACCGCGTCCGCATCAGCACCGCGTCCTCATCAGCACCGCATCCGCATCAGCACCGCATCCTCATCAGCACCGCGTCCTCATCAGCACCGCATCCTCATTCAGCACCGCGTCCTCATCAGCACCGCGTCCTCATCAGCACCGCATCCTCATCAGCACCGCATCCGCATCAGCACCGCGTCCGCATCAGCACCGCATCCTCATCAGCACCGCATCCGCATCAGCACCGCGTCCGCATCAGCACCGCATCCTCATCAGCACCGCATCCTCATCAGCACCGCATCCTCATCAGCACCGCGTCCTCATCAGCACCGCGTCCGCATCAGCACCGCATCCTCATCAGCACCGCATCCGCATCAGCACCGCGTCCGCATCAGCACCGCATCCTCATCAGCACCGCATCCGCATCAGCACCGCATCCTCATCAGCACCGCGTCCTCATCAGCACCGCATCCTCATCAGCACCGCGTCCTCATCAGCACCGCGTCCTCATCAGCACCGCATCCTCATCAGCACCGCGTCCTCATCAGCACCGCGTCCTCATCAGCACCGCATCCGCATCAGCACCGCATCCTCATCAGCACCGCATCCTCATCAGCACCGCATCCTCATCAGCACCGCATCCTCATCAGCACCGCGTCCTCATCAGCACCGCGTCCTCATCAGCACCGCATCCGCATCAGCACCGCATCCTCATCAGCACCGCATCCTCATCAGCACCGCATCCTCATCAGCACCGCATCCTCATCAGCACCGCATCCTCATCAGCACCGCGTCCTCATCAGCACCGCGTCCTCATCAGCACCGCATCCGCATCAGCACCGCATCCTCATCAGCACCGCATCCCTCATCAGCACCGCGTCCTCATCAGCACCGCATCCTCATCAGCACCGCGTCCGCATCAGCACCGCGTCCTCATCAGCACCGCATCCTCATCAGCACCGCATCCTCATCAGCACCGCATCCTCATCAGCACCGCATCCTCATCAGCACCGCATCAGCACCGCATCCGCATCAGCACCGCGTCCTCATCAGCACCGCATCCTCATCAGCACCGCATCCTCATCAGCACCGCATCCTCATCAGCACCGCATCCTCATCAGCACCGCATCCGCATCAGCACCGCGTCCGCATCAGCACCGCATCCGCATCAGCACCGCATCCGCATCAGCACCGCATCCGCATCAGCACCGCGTCCTCATCAGCACCGGGTCCGCATCAGCACCGCATCCGCATCAGCACCGGATCCGCATCAGCACCGGGTCCGCATCAGCACCGGGTCCGCATCAGCATCGCATCCGCATCAGCACCGCGTCCGCATCAGCACCGCATCCTCATCAGCACCGCATCCGCATCAGCACCGCGTCCGCATCAGCACCGCATCCTCATCAGCACCGCATCCGCATCAGCACCGCATCCTCATCAGCACCGCGTCCTCATCAGCACCGCATCCTCATCAGCACCGCGTCCTCATCAGCACCGCGTCCTCATCAGCACCGCATCCTCATCAGCACCGCGTCCTCATCAGCACCGCGTCCTCATCAGCACCGCATCCGCATCAGCACCGCATCCTCATCAGCACCGCATCCTCATCAGCACCGCATCCTCATCAGCACCGCATCCTCATCAGCACCGCGTCCTCATCAGCACCGCGTCCTCATCAGCACCGCATCCGCATCAGCACCGCATCCTCATCAGCACCGCATCCTCATCAGCACCGCATCCTCATCAGCACCGCATCCTCATCAGCACCGCATCCTCATCAGCACCGCGTCCTCATCAGCACCGCGTCCTCATCAGCACCGCATCCGCATCAGCACCGCATCCTCATCAGCACCGCATCCTCATCAGCACCGCGTCCTCATCAGCACCGCATCCTCATCAGCACCGCGTCCTCATCAGCACCGCGTCCTCATCAGCACCGCATCCGCATCAGCACCGCATCCTCATCAGCACCGCATCCTCATCAGCACCGCATCCTCATCAGCACCGCATCCGCATCAGCACCGCATCCGCATCAGCACCGCATCAGCATCGCATCAGCACCGCGTCCTCATCAGCACCGCGTCCTCATCAGCACCGCGTCCTCATCAGCACCGCGTCCTCATCAGCACCGCGTCCTCATCAGCACCGCATCAGCACCGCGTCCTCATCAGCACCGCATCCTCATCAGCACTGCATCAGCACTGCGTCCTCATCAGCACCGCGTCCTCATCAGCACCGCGTCCTCATCAGCACCGCGTCCTCATCAGCACCGCATCCTCATCAGCACCGCGTCCTCATCAGCACCGCGTCCTCATCAGCACCGCGTCCTCATCAGCACCGCATCAGCACCGCGTCCTCATCAGCACCGCATCCTCATCAGCACCGCATCAGCACCGCGTCCTCATCAGCACCGCGTCCTCATCAGCACCGCGTCCTCATCAGCACCGCGTCCTCATCAGCACCGCGTCCTCATCAGCACCGCATCAGCACCGCGTCCTCATCAGCACCGCATCAGCACCGCATCCTCATCAGCACCGCATCCTCATCAGCACCGCATCAGCACCGCGTCCTCATCAGCACCGCGTCCTCATCAGCACCGCATCCTCATCAGCACCGCATCCTCATCAGCACCGCATCCTCATCAGCACCGCATCCTCATCAGCACCGCATCAGCACCCTGTCCTCATCAGCACCGCGTCCTCATCAGCACCGCATCCTCATCAGCACCGCGTCCGCATCAGCACCGCGTCCTCATCAGCACCGCATCCTCATCAGCACCGCATCCTCATCAGCACCGCGTCCTCATCAGCACCGCGTCCGCATCAGCACCGCATCCTCATCAGCACCGCATCCGCATCAGCACCGCGTCCGCATCAGCACCGCATCCTCATCAGCACCGCATCCGCATCAGCACCGCATCCTCATCAGCACCGCGTCCTCATCAGCACCGCATCCTCATCAGCACCGCGTCCTCATCAGCACCGCGTCCTCATCAGCACCGCATCCTCATCAGCACCGCGTCCTCATCAGCACCGCGTCCTCATCAGCACCGCATCCTCATCAGCACCGCATCCTCATCAGCACCGCATCCTCATCAGCACCGCATCCTCATCAGCACCGCATCCTCATCAGCACCGCATCCTCATCAGCACCGCATCCTCATCAGCACCGCATCCTCATCAGCACCGCATCCTCATCAGCACCGCATCCTCATCAGCACCGCTTCCTCATCAGCACCGCATCCTCATCAGCACCGCATCCTCATCAGCACCGCGTCCTCATCAGCACCGCGTCCTCATCAGCACCGCATCCGCATCAGCACCGCATCCTCATCAGCACCGCATCCTCATCAGCACCGCATCCTCATCAGCACCGCATCCTCATCAGCACCGCATCCTCATCAGCACCGCGTCCTCATCAGCACCGCGTCCTCATCAGCACCGCATCCGCATCAGCACCGCATCCTCATCAGCACCGCATCCTCATCAGCACCGCGTCCTCATCAGCACCGCATCCTCATCAGCACCGCGTCCTCATCAGCACCGCGTCCTCATCAGCACCGCATCCGCATCAGCACCGCATCCTCATCAGCACCGCATCCTCATCAGCACCGCATCCTCATCAGCACCGCATCCGCATCAGCACCGCATCCGCATCAGCACCGCATCCTCATCAGCACCGCATCCTCATCAGCACCGCATCCGCATCAGCACCGCATCCGCATCAGCACCGCATCCTCATCAGCACCGCGTCCTCATCAGCACCGCATCAGCACCCATCCTGCTTCCTCCGCCCCTACCACCTTGTGGAAACACTGATCTCCAGAGGGAGCTCCTCCCACCCTAAACCCATCGGCCTTCTTGGGCCTCGTGCTCCCCCGTCTCTCAGACGCCTGTGGCCCCGTGACCGTTCCCCTCTCCACTCCCCATCTCAGACGCCTGTGGCCCCGTGACCGCTCCCCTCTCCACTCCCCATCTCAGATGCCTGTGGCCCTGTGAGTGCTCCGCTCTCCACTTCCCATCTCAGATGCCTGTGGCCCCGTGACCGCTCCCATCTCCGCTCCCCATCTCAGATGCCTGTGGCCCCGTGACTGCTCCCCAAGACAACCTCCTCCTGACTCACTCTCCAACCTCCAGCATTTCCTTCCATGCCCCTTCCTCCCCACCTCAGGCCTCTGAGCAGAACGCCCTGACCCGACTTCTCTTCCCTGCAGGCCTGCGTCTCAATGGACTCAACGTGACGTCCACGCCCCAGCAAATTGCCAGCTGTCCATCTAGAGAGGTGCATCTCCACCTACATTAGCTTTGCCGCCGTGTCTAACATCAAGCTCCTCGCATTCCCCTCCAGCCCCTGAGAAAGCCCCAGCGGGCCAGGGCCTTCTACTTTTAGTGGAACCATCCTCTTCCTGGGACAGAAACTGCCAAGCCTCTTTCTCTTTCCCCCTTGTCATCTCTACCTAAGCAGCCATGGAGACCGTCAGCTCATTCTGGGACACAGCTCTGTCCCCTGGGTTCGACTTCCTCTGTGGTCTCCAGCGGCCTCTCTGCTGGTGACGTGCCCACCGCCCCAGGCCTCTGCCCTCTGGACTCAGCATCCTCAACACCTATCACCCCTGCACACCTCGCACAGGACACCTTCTCTCAGCAACACGCTTGTCCTGTGACACTCCTTGACATTTACACGATGTCTACACTCTGCAGGCTGGCAAGCCCCCCTGACAGGCGCAGCCTCCGTCCTGCTCTGGGACTCAGGCCATGGCCGGTATGCTTCCCTCCAGGCCGTGTCATGAACTGCCCGGGCCCCAGGGTCCCTCCTACAGTCCTGCAGTGATTGATGGCCAGAAATTCCATGAGAAGATGTTGAAATGCACCTGATGTTTCTCTCAACAGCACGACAGGCTCAATCCCTGTTGAATGAAACGTTTCCCAATCCTTGCCCGGGACCACCGAGAATCTAATAACTTAAAGGGGAAGAATGTGTTCTCAGTCCATCTCAGTCACGTCCAACACTCTAGTTCTCGAGACCTTTTAGAAACAGCAGAGTTGGAAATACCTGCCTGGAAGAAAGAGTGCCATATGTAAATGTTCTCATCCAAGAGCAGATCATTCCTTTGGAATAATCACTTTATTAAAACAGGACAGTAGGGGCCCTATTGCTTGCATTGAAACAATATTTTAG
The DNA here is from genome assembly GCF_000001405.40 of Homo sapiens. Taxonomy (NCBI): domain Eukaryota; kingdom Metazoa; phylum Chordata; class Mammalia; order Primates; family Hominidae; genus Homo; species Homo sapiens. Next base: position 42,542 of record NW_004166862.2, on the reverse strand, counting down.
AGCAGTGAAAAAGAATTCAACTTTAATATGTCTTGAGATGTCAAATAAAGGTTTAGCTAATACCCAGAATTTTATTTCACTTTACACTAAAGAGAGTTCATGATTGGTTTTTAAAAATATTTTTGAACTGGACGCATTTCTGTAACCATATTAGAGTAAATTGGAAAGATGCTGGGAGAAAAAGAAGAGATAAGAGTGAAGCTCCTGGGGAAATGTGTGATTTTTATTCCAGGAAACCAGAATTCTAATCTGGGCTGTGTGGAGGCATCGCTGGCTGTGTTCGGTCTGGGTGCCGTGGGCGGGCTCTGGGATTGCCTGTGTCACCGGGGCCTGTGTGCACCCAGATGAAGAGAGGACACACAAAAAAACACCAAGAGAGCGAAAGGTTTCACTTTTGTAAATCATAAAATCCATCTGTTCTGCTAAAAGGCAGCTGAACATCTGCGCAGCCGTTTCATGACGGCCTCGTCTGGACAGTGTTTTCCAAACACCTTGAGTGGCAGAGCTTTGCCTGAAGGGCCAGCCACAGCTGAGGGGCAGGTGTTTAACAAACCGGCCGCTTCCGCCGGTGCACGTGAATAAAAGCCTCCCTTTCGTGTTTGGGTAAACAGTTTCCATTCCTTTGATTTTTTAATAGACTTTGAGGCCTGCAGAATTCTGTTCTAGCGCAGATGTGCAACCACCCTGATAAGGCATCGAGCCACGGTGCTCGCTCCCAACCCTCACAGTGCTGAGCTCCAGGGAAATCTTAATGTAAACTGTGTTCCTGTTCATTGCGTGATTGCATGGTGTGGATACGCACACACAAACATACAGCATCAGGGTGTGCAGAGCACATGACAGGTGCTGCCAGAAACACCTGAAAAGCCCTGGGGAAGGACTGACCTCCGCTGGGCTGGTGGTGATGGTGGTGATCAACTGCATCCATGAGACTGGAGGCTGAAGCGCCACAACGGTTCTGAGGCCCCTTTCTTGAGTGACTCTAGACAGGGCTGTGTTCTGGACAGGGGATACTTTCAGATTATTTCAGCTGCAAAGAGCATAACTAGAGAAAGCTGATGAAGGCTTTCAGTACACAAGCTTGCCTCAGAGCAGTTGCATAAATTATTCCTCCCCCTTGGGAAGATCCACCTTCAGACCTTCTCACAGCCGCTTCTCTATTAATCAGATTTCCATTCCAAAGGCACCCTTTCAGAGAGCTCTTCTCTAAGAGTCTTGATGACTCGGTCCTGCCCTCACCCCACACTGCACTCTGAGTTACTCTCATGTCACTCTTACGTATTTTCGTCATGGTACCCTTGAGTTTCTGAATTTGTTGTTTATCTTCTTCCACTAGAGGAAAGTGTTCCTACTGGTCCTATTGTTTTTAGATCAGTGTCTCCACATGTTTAAAATTCTCACAATATTTTCTCAACAGAACCTTCAGTCTTCACATTGTGGGAAAGACAAGCATGGCTTTAGGGTGAAACAGCCCCAGCCAGAGTCTGGCCCTAACCCACATGACTGACCGAGGCACAACCTCTCAGGACTCATATTTCTTATCTTTAATACAGAGATAACAGCATCTACTTTATAGCATTATTATGAAGTTAAATAGAAAAAAAATGCATTCTACCAGCAAATAGTATCAATATAAAAACAGACACATAGACCAATAGAATAGAGAACCCAAAAGTAAATCTCTGTGTTTATAGCAACTCTTCTTCAACAGAGGCACCAAGAACGAACAATGGGAAAGGGCAGTCTCTCCAATAAATGGTGCTGGGAAAACTGGATATTCATGTGCAAGAGAACAAAACTAGACCCCGTCTCTCACCATCCACAAAAATACAGCCAAAGCAGATTAAATACTTCAATGTAAGACCTAAAACGGGAAACTGATAGAAGAAAACATAGGAGAAATTCTTCAGGATATCTGTCGAGGCAAACATTTATTTGCCAAAACTTCAAAAGCACAGGCAACAAAACAAAAAATAGACAAATGGGAGTTATATTGAACTAAAATCATATGCACAGCAAAGGAAACTATCAACAGAGTGAAAAGACAACTTCTAGAATAAGAGAAAATATTCTTCTGACGAGGGACTAATATCCAGAATATACAAGGAACTCAAACCACTGAACAGCAGCAACAATGACAACGACAAAACACAAAATTGATCTAAAAATGACCAAAGTATCTGAATAAACATTTCTCAAGAGAAGACATACAAATGGCCAAAAAAGTCTACAAAGAAATGCTCGATGTCATCAAAACCACAGTGCGACATCGTCTCACCCCAGTTCGAATGCCTGTTATCCAAAAGACAAAAAAATAACAAATGCTGGCAAAGATGGGGAGAACAGGGAACTCTCATATACTGTTGCTGGGAATGTAAGTTAGCACAGCCACTAATGAGAACAGTATGACGGCTTCTCGAAAAGCTAAAAATAGAACTCCCCTATGATCCAGCAATCCCGCTGCTAGGCATATACCCAAAGGAAAGGAAATGGTTACATGGAAGAGGTATGTGCACCCCCATGGTCACTGCTGCACAACTCACAGTAGCCAAGATACTGAATCAAGCTAGTGTCCATCAAAGGCTGGACGGATAAAGAAAATGTGCCGTATATGTAGACACAATGGAATACTACTCAGCCCTAAAAAGAATGAAATCCTGTCACTTGCAGCAACATGAGTGGAACTAGAGGTCACGATGTGAAGTGAAATAAACCAGGTGGAGAAAGACAAACAGCGCGTGTTCTCACTCGTACGTGGGAGTTTACAAAGTGGATCTCACAGAGGTGGTGCATCAAATGCTGGTTACCAGTGGCTGAGAAGGATGTCAGGGAGGGAGGGGAAGAGAGGCTGCTTAATGGGCACAGACAGACGGTTAGATAGAAGGAATAAGTTCTAATATTTGACAGCAGAGTAGGGTGACTATAGCTAACAATAATTTACTTTATATTTCAAAACAGGTAGAAGATAAGCTCTGAAATGTCACCAACACCAGGAAATGACAAGTGTTTGAGGTGTTTGAGATGGCCCTGACCCGATCATTACACACTGTACGCACGTATGAGAAGTCACCCTGTACCCCATAAAGATGCACAATTATTATGGATCAATTAAAAATGCATCAAAAAAGAATTCAGAGAGGGGTTGGAGCTTCTTAAACCTGGTCAATCTTTGAATTCGGTTTCAATCCCAAACTAGTTGGTGTGAACTTAGGATTTCGTCTCCTAATTCATAATTTTAATTGTAAAACTTAACCAAAGGGAATAAAACACTGTGCTTTCAGGTGCCAGGAAGGTGGCGTGGGCAGATCAGCAAAACTTGGAAGAACCCAGTGAAGTGAAGCATTGCTGAACTAAATAAACACAATGGCTTTCATAAAAGGAGCGGAAAAGGAATGGTTAACAGGAGCAGGTTTTCTCCACTGCAAAGAGGACTCCTACACAACGAGACATACAACCTCCCTCCTGGGACTCTCTGAGCCTCTCTATCCCCAGTTTCACCCTGGACTATCTTTGCTAGTGTATGTGGGTTGGCTTTGAACTCTCTGGCCCAGCTGACTAACGGGCACCACGCTTGTGCTCTGTTGTTTACCCAAGGCTGGAGTCTGTGCATCTCCTCTGAAAAACAAGGGAGGTATTTTATGGCATAGAGTTTTATTGGTGGTAACATCACTGATATTTACATTCCTTCGCTGCTCCCAGATACAAACCCACTGAGACACACCACATGCTTCTGTAGCTACCTGAAAGCCAGGAACACCAGAAAGACCAAAGTGCTAACCTGCAGATACAAACACGCTTCACATACACTGAAAAAAACCCCACACAACTATCACTATATTTAAACTCAAAATAATCTAAAATAGAGACTAAATGTTTTCCAATTATACTTAACAATTTCAAAACATGTTTTATCCTTTGTGGTTGTATAGGTAATCATTAACTTTCAAAAAAAAAGAAAAAGAAAAAGAAAAAAAAACTTTCTGAGGGTAGGACAAATTTCCTAATTCTTAAGGATCATAAAACAAACAAAAAAATACAGATGTCCTCAGAATTCCTGGGACAGGCAGGTGTAAGGCAGTTTTTTTAAAAAAAAAAATGTATTTGTGCACAACAAACTATTCCAAAATGCTTGTTTAAAACTCCACCACCGTCAGGACCAGGGCCAAGAGCTGAGGGTAGGCGTGGGCCCCACTCATCAGGACTCCTGCAGCTGGGCAGGGTGAAGCAGACACGGTTAGCACTTTCCCTAAGATGGGGGAGAGGAGGGGAAGGAGGAGAGGAGCTGCTCCATGCAGTTCCTACATCTGGTTTTCCTGCTCTCTTCCTCTCCAACTGGCCTCTGAATGTGCAGGGCACCTGAACCACTACCTGTCAGCTTGAGCCTCAGGAGGTGCAGGCTCTGAGGCCAAGGCTGTGAGCCGCGGGGACTTTGTCCCAACTCAAAGGGAGGATGTTACCAAGTGTGAGTGCCAGGGGCCTTGAGGCAGGAGGGAACAGAATGTCACGGACGGCCGTAGCCCTTCAACTGGAAGCCGTTCATTACTTTATTATTCAAAATGCGAACAATTATTTCTGTTTATGGACTTACAATTGTTAAAATATTTCACATACCACATTTTGTGCAAATCGTGCTTTTTATATCTCCAGGGATGCTGGGAATATGCTTAAATGCGAGGAAATATTTTCATCCTCGGTTCAGAAATTATAACATATTGCTTTTCCTATAATATATTTCATATCGTTGGCTTTAACATCACTACGTAATGTGGCCAATGTTTTACTCTTTCTTGCTGTAGAAATTGCTGACCTGTTAGGCTGGCCCCTTGCTATACTTCTAGCCTCCAGAGTACTGATTTTGAGTCAGGTTAGGGGTGAGTTTACTTGAGAACTAACCCCTTCCTCTTTCAGTAACAGAACCCCCAAAGAGGAGCTGCCAGATGTCAGTGGACTGAACTCTGGTGAGGTTGTCTTCCTGGAATAAATGTCCCAGTGTACTTTCCCTTAGTGTGTATGTGTGTCTTTGTGTTTATTTATACACTGTCTTACAGTTATTGAAATACACAGACCTGTAAATCAAAGTATTAACTTTGAGTCCCAAATTCTTAAGGTAACTATCCAAATGAACTATTAACAGTGAACTATCTCACCTTTGGAGAAAAGATACACACACATGCACACATGCCGTCTAAATGGTAAAGAATAACAACAACTGAATGGGAAGGTAATGGGCGGATAAAAAGAGAAGGAACTCTGGGCGCACTGTGCACAGACAGGACCCGAGGGCAGGGACGCGGTGCATTTGTTGATAAACAGTTCTGAGCCGAACAGATCAGAGGATATAACGTATTTGGATTATGACAAGTTCCTGGTGAACTGACCTTTGTTCAAACACTATCTATCTTTAGGTCCAGAATAGACCACATATTAAGTTCTAAAACAAGCCTCAATCAATATAAAATTAATTGTCATGTAAAAAATGTTCTTCAACCACAGAGAAATTAAATTAAAAATCAACAGCAGGAAGAAATTCAGAAAATACGCAAATACAAACAATATACTCTAATATTATTTCAAGGAAGAAATCTCAATGAAAGGTAGAATTTTGAATTCAATGAAAATAAAAAGACATTATAGCTTTTATAAGATGCAGGAAAAGTAGTGGCTGTTGGAGAAGTATAGCTTGAAATGGCTCTATTGGAAAAAAGAAAGATCTCAATAAAATCACCTGAGTTTTCACCTTCAGAAGCTAGAAAAGATGTATCAAGTAAGCCCAAGGGAAGCAAAATGAAGGAAATAACAAAGATTAGATAATAAATCAATGAAATAGAAAATAAAATCAATACAGAAATAAATGAAACCAAAAGTTGGTTCTGTAAAGAGATCAAAAAAATTGGCTAAGCTTTAGCTAGACTATCAAGAAAAAAAAGAAAAGAAAAAAATTACCAAAATCAGGAATAAAAAAGTAAACATGACTACCCACCTTATAGAAGCCAAAAGAATAATGAGGAAAAACAGAACACATTTAGGCCAACAAATAGATATTTAGATAAAAATGAACAAATTTCTGGCCATGCAAATTACCGAAAATGACTCAAAACAAAAAAACTCAGAATATTTCTATGGGAAATAAAAAGAATTAATAATGAAAAATCTTCCAACCCACAAAGGAAATCTGAGGCACAGATGGCTTCAGGACAAATTCTACCAAAGACTTAAAGAACTAATACTAATTCTTCACAAAATTATTTTAGAATGTAGAAGAGAAAAGAATACTTCCCAACTCATTCTATAAAGCCAGTATTATTCTGATATCAAAGCCAGAGAAAAATATCATGAAAAAAGAAAACCATAGACCAATGTTTCCTGTGAACCCATATGCAAAAAATTCTCAACAAAATACTAGAAAACTGAACTTGGCAACATATAAAAATATGATATATCATAACTTAGTAGGATTTAAATCAGGACTGCAAGGTTGGTACAACATCCAAATATCAAGTAATGTAATACAGCATTTTAATAAAGGACAAAAATACATGATTATCTCAATGAATGACAAAAAAAAAGCATTTGACAAAATTCAACATCCACTCAGGGAATAAATTCTCAACAAACTAGTAATAGGAGACAACTTCCCCAATGTGATAAAACGTATCTGTGAAAAACCCACGGTTAACAGCATGCTTAACGGAGAAAAGCAGAATGTTCCCCCTAAAATCAGGAGCAGGAGGATACCCAGGCTTTCATTTACATACAAGGCCAATCAAGAAGAAGACGGTGATGGGCGCGGTGGCTCACGCCGGTAATCCCAGCACTTTGGGAGGCCATGGTGGGTGGATCACTTGAGGTCTGGAGTTTCAGACCAGTCTGGCCAACATAGTGAAACCCTGTCTCTACTAAAAATACAAAAATTAGCTGGGCGTGATGGCGCGCACCTGTAATCCCAACTACTTGGGAGGCTGAGGCTGGAGAATCACTTGAACCAGGCAGGCAGGGTTGTGGTGACCAGAGATCGAGCCATTGCACTCCAGCCTGGGTGACAAGAGAGAAAGTCCATCTCAAAAAAATAATAAAATAATATAAAAAAGAAGATGGCGATAACAATGACAATTTCACTTCTACATACTATCAATGAATGGTCCAAAAATGAAATTCAGAAAACTATTCCATTCACATTAAAAAGGATAAAATACTTAGAAATAAACTTTCGAAAGAAGGTAAGATGTTTACATTGAAACCTATAGAACAAGGGTGTCTAATATTTTGACTTCCCTGTGCCACACTGGAAAAAGAATTGTCTTGGGCTACACATAAAATACACTAACACTACCAATAGCTGATGAGCTTTAAAAAAAAAAAATCGCAAAAAAAAAAAATCTATGTTTTAAGACAGTTTGCAAATTTGCATTGGGCTGCATTCAATGCTGTCCTGGGCCGCATGTGACTTTCAGGCCGTGGGTTGGACGAGCTTGCTGTAGAATATGCTGAAAGCAATGAATGATGATCATATTAAATAGAGAAACAATCCATGTGTATGAGTTGGAAAAGTCAATATTTTAAAGATGAAAATTCATGTGAAATTGATACATATATTCAATTCAACACCTGTAAAAATTCCAGCAAGCTTTTTGTGGCAACTGACAAGCTGTTCCTAACATTTACATGAAAATGCGTAGACCCAACATAGTCAAAACATCTGAAAAACAAATGGAGGAATTTCACTTCCCATTTTTAAAACTTATTCGGAAGCTCCACTAAATCAAAAGATTGTGATATTGAGATAGATGTATACATATAGATCAATGGAGTATAATTGAAAAATCCCACAGATAAACAGATAAACACTAAGGCTTACAGTCGATTGTTTTTCCACAAAGATGCCAGGAAAATTCAATTATGAAGTGCTATACTTTGCAATAAATCGTATGGGACAATTGGATATCTGTAGGCAAACAAGTTGACTTTCTATTAATTTTTCTCCATTCTTTTTTTCTTTCTGCTCCTAAAATGAGATACTATGTGTTGACTTACCTGCAAGTTCTCCGGTTTTTTCTTCTACTGACTCGAATCTGTTGTTAAGATCCTCTAGCGATGTTTTATTTCACCTATCGCACTTCTCAACTCACTCCAGAATTTCTATTTGGTTCTTTTTAAATAATTTCTATTTATTAATGTTCAAACAAATTGAATTCAGACCGTGTCTTACATTACACATAAAAAGTATCTCGGGATGGATCATTGTCTAAATTTAAGAGCTAAAGCTATAAAAAGCTATTTAAAAAAACAGAAGAAAATTTTGAAATGGTTATGCAAATATTCTTAGATATAACACCAAATGCAAAATCCATAAAATAAAAAAAATTGAACTTTATCAAAATCTAAAATTTTTGTGCTTCAAAAGACACCATAAAAAGAATAAAATGTCAAGCCATAAATTTACAAAAAATACTTGCAAATCTTATTTCTTACAAAGAATTGTATTCATAATATACAAAGAACTTACAAACCAATTAAGATAGACAATCTTTTTAAAAAATGTACAAAGATATAATAGACATTTTATCAAGGGAAGTCAGAGAAGAATATATACATGGAAAGATGTATATCATTTATGATTAAGGAAATGTTAATTAAAACAACACTGCATGCCACTTCCCACTCATGAAACTAGCTGTAACACTAAGGCAGACGATGGCAAATGTTGGTGAAAGTGGGAACCCTCACACAGTGTTGACTGGAGTGTGCAATGGCCTAGCCATTTTGGAAAATAGTTGAGTTTCTTAAAAAGTTTATGAAGTTACCCAGTAGACCCAGTAATTTTATCCAAGCTATCTACCCAAAAGAAATAAAAATATGCAACCACAACCACGTCCACAACACAGGATATTTTATGATCCCTGAAAGTTCCTTCATGCCCCTTGGCAGCCAATGCTTCCAATCCCTACAAGTGGGCAAACACTGCTGGGCTTTCGGTCACTTAGAGTTTTGCCTTTCCTAGCATTTCAAAAAACCAGAATCATACATTATGTACTCTTTGTGTGAGTATACCTCAATAAAATTGATTTTTAAAAATCATAAAAAGACAAATATTTAAGGTGATAGAAATCCCAAGTACACTGATTTGATCTTTACAAATTATACGAACGCATTAGGTTGTCACATGTACCCCCCAAATATGTCCATCTATTATGTGTTAGTAAAACCCCTGCGCCAAGCTGAAAGGAAATCCCATCTTTGGAGCCAACTCAAATCTTAGTATTGACTCTCCTCCATACAACGTGGCTTCCTGAGCATAATAAAATCTTGAACAATTCTGCAAAATGAGAAATTCCAAAAGAAAAATGGGCAGAAGTCCTGACTGGACATTTTGCTAAACAGCAAAACAAAATGTCCAAAAACAACAACAAAAAATTGCTCAATCTTATTAGAAATCAAAGAAATGTAAATAAAACCAAAATTAGATATTTTTACCTTCCGGCCAAATAGAAAAAAGTAAAAAATCAACCAATACAGAGTGAAGGTTAAGGTGAAACCACAGGAATGCTTACATTGTTGGTGCGGGTGTGAATCATTATTTTCACTTTGGGAATGTTTGCCATTACTTACAAAGTAGAAAATGAAAATATCCTAAGAACTAGCAATTCTCCTAGGAATACACTCCAGGAAGCTTTTGACAGGCACATGATAAATACATGACATTCAGAAGATAAATACAAGAAAGTCCACAGCAGCACAGCCAGAAACTGAAATCCACCCTAAGTCCATCAACAACAGGGCAGGTTTGTTCTAAAATTGTGATTTATTTATATATTTGAAAACTATACAACAGTAAAAGTGAACAAATCCTATCTACATGCATGTATCTGGATAAATGGCACAGTGATGGGATAGAAAGACACCACTAAAGATGTATACAATATCATTTTACTTACAGACTACAAAAACAAGTAAAACTTACCAGATATTCTTCTGTGGATGCACGTACAATAAACCATAAAGAAAAGCAAGGAAATTATGATCCCAGAAGCAGGATAATGGCTACTTCTGTTTGGGAATGAAGAGGATAGAATCATGGATGGCTTATGCAGAGGTGTTTTGTATACTGAAAATGATTCATTTCTCAACCTTGAGATGCTGACATGGGCTGTGTGGGTGTTAATTTTATCAATACTGATAAAATATACATATATAATAATTGTATACGTGTGTTATGTCAAGTATAGTTCACTATGAAATAAAATTAAATAAATAAAACCTTCTGTCCACATAAAGACTTGCACAGTAGTGTTCATAGTGCCATTAGCCATCATAACTAAGAAGTGGAAGCAACCCAAATGCTCATCCCCTGTGACTCCATAAATGACTGTGGTATATCCACGCGATGGAATGCCATTCAGTAACAAAGATGAAGGCACTATGTGCTACAATGGGGTTGAACCTCAAAGCACTGTGCTCAGTGAATGAAGCTAAAAATAGAAGACAATTTACAGCATCCTGTTGATAGGAAATCTCCAGAAAAGACATTTGTGGAGGTAAAACCTAGAGGAGAGGTTAGCCAGGCCTTAGGTGGAAATGAGGATTGCCTGCAACTGCGTGCGAGAGATCATCTCGGGTGGTAGAAATGTTCCAAAATTGTACTGTGGTAGTGGTTACAATGCGGTACATTTACAAGAAAATCATTGAATTGCACACTTAAAAAAGGTGAATTTTATGTTATGTAAATTAGACTCCCCAAAATCTGTCAAAACAAAAAAATGGAGTACAAATACACAGGAAAAAAAAACTGTTTTTTCAACCCCAGGCAACAGTGTTCTCATGTCCTGTCTCTCTCCCTCTCTCTCTGGTAAATCAGCCTTCCCTGCTGAAGATGTCGAGATAAGAAATGGAATTAAAGTGATACAAGAAACAGGGCTAAAGCTTGGGGAAGGGCTTAGCAGACTCGAGGGGCCTGGAGCCTGTCCCAGCACAGAGACGCTCGGGGCAGGGAGCCTGGCTGCACTGTGGCTTTGCAATCAGCCTCATAAGCAGCCTCGGGTTTTGTCTGCTTCATTTGGTCACATGTGAGCATGGAACGGGAGGAGGCAGGATGTCTTTAGGATGAAAGACACAAACAAGTTGAGAGTAAAAGGATGAAAAGACAGACCATGCAAACAATGCTTATAACCGAGCCAGAGCGGCTGAGCTCGTATCAGAAGTAATAGGGTTAGTACAGATTTCACCTCCTAACCTCTTTGGATTAAAAACATCAAACCAGAACGTTAGCATCATTAAAAAGTATCATCTCTGTGATCATTCCAGGCTTATAAAAAGCGTTTGATAAACTGAGCTAAGAATCCAAACTTGAGTGCGGCTTTGAAAGGGGATGGGATTTTATGTGTTTACTTCTTATAATGTTAAGATGCTTTGACATGGGGGCATTAAAAGTTATGTGTGTTAATTTTATTTAAAAGTTTTACAAAGCCTTAGCCATCATATCACATTGCCCCATCCCCATTAAATATGTCATACTTTATAGTTTTAAAAAAATTCTTCTTAAATGCAGCGTTCATGCGGCCCTATAAATCTCTACATTAAACGGCCTTCTAAAAAAGCTGATTTTCAGCCACACAGCACTGACATCAGGAGAGAGACTCGGTGTAGCTGAGGAAGATGTGGGCTTTTAAAATGCCTCCGTAATGCAGATCTGGGAACTCAGCCATCGTCCTATTGTTAAAAGTCATTGCCAAAACACTTCTTAAGAGCAATGGTATCGTGGAGAAAGGCAATTAGACTGATCCCTGCAGGTTTCAGGCACCTGGAAGCCTGGGCATCTTTGGGATGCAGCCCGCTCCCCGGCTCACGAGCCTGCTGTCCTGCAGACCTCTGAACGCGAGAGTGGCAGGAGTTTGTCACTATAGCTTCCTTAGCTTCCTTCCAATGTCCCCAAACACTGACAATGCTATGTAAAGAATAAAAGGAGTCCGGTCCCTCCCTAGGGTATTTTGGCCTTGAATACGGAAACATTGGTGGTTTGCCGGCGGACCTCACAAGGGAAGGAGAGAAAGAAAAGCTGTTGCTTGGAGTTTGTTTTCTTTAATGTGGAGCCATAATTCCAAATTATTTAAACAAGATAAGTATCTCTTAAGGTATTTTTAGTAGTGCGAAGTTAAGTGTCATCACGCCATGTCTTACGCCACGTGGAAAACATGGTCTTTATTCAAAACAAGAAGGGAGCCCGGGCCTGTCCCCACCTTGATGGCGTGGGCCCGTTTTCTAGCTCAGGAAAATGGCCACGGAGCCTCCAGGAGGAAACCCGGCAGCCGGGTGGCCTCCCGTCTCCCTCCCTGCGCTCTGGCCACGGCCGCCACCCCACAGTCACCCGTGCAGCTCCCGCCTCCTGTGCGCCCCTCACTCAGCCCAGGGCCTCAAGAAGATTCTGTGCTTTCCCCACCCCGGCACCCCCGGCAGGAACGGGGGTCCCTGCTCCCTCGCTTTATAGAGCTTCCTTCAAATCCCAGCAGCCGACGCCCTCGTGCTCGCGGTCCCCCCACGCTCCGTCCCCGCCTCGTGCACGCGTCCCCCCGCGCTCCGTCCCCGCCTCATGCACGCGTCCCCCCGCCCCAGGCTCCATCCCCGCCTCGTGCACGCGTCCCCCCGACCCTCTGTCCCCGCCTCATGCACGCGGTCCCCCCGCGCTGCGTCCCCGCCTCGTGCTCGCGGTCCCCCCACGCTCCGTCCCCGCCTCGTGCACGCGTCCCCCCGCCCCAGGCTCCATCCCCGCCTCGTGCACGCGTCCCCCCGCCCCAGGCTCCATCCCTGCCTCGTGCACGCGTCCCCCCGACCCTCTGTCCCCGCCTCGTGCACGCGGTCCCCCCCACGCTCCGTCCCCCTGACCTTTCTCTCGTGGAGGCTCCTGGCCTGGACATGGTGCCCTGTTTATCACAGAGGGCGGTACCTGAGAGGCTGCTTGGCGAGTGGCTTCCAGCGGGACTCGGGGTGAGGGTGGCCCGTGGCTCTGCTGACCGTGGGGCTGCCATGAGGACTCTGACTGGGGAGAGCGGCGATTCTTAGAGGAGCATCAGGCCCAGGGCCAGGGTTTGACCAGGACAGGCCGGCCAGCGGGGGCACAGCAAGAGTGGATACTAACACAGATACTATACTAAACACAGAAACAGGACGTCCTGTTTCTTTCGTTTTGCTTTGTTTTTTGAGACAGAGTCGCCCTCTGTTGCCCAAGCTGGAGTGCAATGGTGCCATCTCGGCTCACTGCAATCTCTGCCTCCAGGTTCAACCGATTCTCCCACCTCAGCCTCTCGAGTAGCTGGGATTACAGGCACCTGCCACCACGCCCGGCTAATTTTTATATTGTTTGTAGAGATGGGGTTTCGCTATGTTGACCAGGCTGGTCTCAAACTCCTGACCTCATGTGATCTGCCCACCTTGGCCTCCTAAAGTGCTGAGATTACAGGCATATCCTGTTAGTGATGATACTAACAGGACGCTTCAGCTTCAGGTGGCAGGAGGAGAAAGAAATTGGCCCAAACACGCTGAAATCAAAAGGAAATTCCTTATCTCCTGTGGCCCAAACGGCAGCTTCATTCCAGGTCCTGCGCTTTGCATATGCAGAAGATGTCACCACAAGGGAGGGAGGATGGGGACAGGGTCCCAGGTCCAGGGCCCCTAGTCTCAGCCGGTTCAGCTGCCCTAACACCAGAGCCCGGGTAGTAACCACAGACATCTATGTCCTTGTCTTTCTCGGGGTTGGAAGGCGAAGGTCGAGGTACAGGCAGGGTGGTTTCTCAGGGGCCGCCTCTTTGTCTTGAGACGCGGCTGCTGGCTATGTCCTCGCGCGGTCGTCCCTCTAGGCACACAAATCCCCAGTATCTCTGTGTGTCCAAATCTCCTCTTCGTAGAAGGACATCGTTAGACTGGATTAGGCACCCTCGTGGCCTTGTTGTAACTTGATCACCTCTTCAAAGGCCCTGTCCAAATACAGTCACTTTCCAACACCCACTCACTGACAGTCACCAGGAAGGGGAATGGAATCATTATTAAAACAGTCAGTGGGGCCAGATTCCTCTGAGATCGACATCAACAAAATCAAGGCAGTTGTAGGAAGATGGAGGGGATGAAATGAGTGTGTGGCCGAAGAGTTTTATTACACCGGTTTCCACTGTTCTTTCATCTATGTATTAATTCCAACCTTAAAACAAGGGTGGGCAGGGCACAGTGGCTCATGCCTGTAATCCCAGCACTTTGGGAAGCCAAGGTGGGCAGATCACCTGAGGTCAGGAGTTCGAGACCAGCCTGGTCAACATGGTGAAACCCCATCTCTACTAACAATACAAAAATTAGACAGGCATTGTGGCAGGTGCCTGTAATCCCAGCTACTTGAGAGGCTGAGGTGGGAGAATCGCTTGAATCTGGGGAGCAGAGGCTGCAGTGAGCTGAGATGGCACCATTGCACTCCAGCCTGGGCAAGAGAGTGAGACTCCGTCTCAAAAAACAAAGCAAAGCAAAACAAAAAAAAAGCAAGGTGTCTGTGCCTCACAGGGGCAGGCCCAGCCATGGCTCACTGTGGCTGAGTGATGTTATGGCTAGCACTGGCTGAATTCTCCCTCCAGTTCCCTCCTCGTGGGCTCTGGGGTGTCCTCCACTAAATGCCGGTCCCAGAACTCCAGCTCCTCTCTGGAGCAATGTGTACTTGTGGACGTTGGGCCTGAGCCTGTGTTTCCTCAGCTTTGTCTTGCTTGAAAAGGACTTAGCCCCACTGACCTTCCAAAGCTCCAAATCCTATGCTGGCGTATTGGAGGGCTCCCCTCAGCTGCCTTGCACGCAGCCTCTCTTGGCTTTGCATAAACTGCGAAGATTTTCAGGCCTCTGGCAGGGGTCACAGACCAGCAAATCCGTCAGCCAAGTGCTGGAAGTGGGGGAGGGCGTCTAGAGGCTCACGGCAGCCACATGTATCCAAATAGGAGGACAGGAGAAAAGAATGAAGACTATTCCATGAAATCAAAGAAAAACAGAAAAAGTGGTTTGTGGCCTTCCTTTTAAATTATATCACAGACTATTACTTACTCACCCTTTAAGACCTTTAAGACCTTTGCAGGATTCTTGGAGGAAAGACATTTGACAAGTTAATTACAGTTTTAAGGTAATTAGTGCTTCATCCCAGACACATAGTAAAATATTGACGGATCAAGAAATGAAAATCGCATTCTCTGTCATTTTCATCCTAAGCACACTCTATTCAATAGTGGAAAATACAAGAGAGACAACTTTTTTTTTTTTTTTTTTTTTTTTTTTTTTTTTTTTTTGAGACGGAGTCTCGCTCTGTCGCCCAGGCTGGAGTGCAGTGGCGGGATCTCGGCTCACTGCAAGCTCCGCCTCCCGGGTTCACGCCATTCTCCTGCCTCAGCCTCCCAAGTAGCTGGGACCACAGGCGCCCGCCACTACGCCCGGCTAATTTTTTGTATTTTTTAGTAGAGACGGGGTTTCACCGTTTTAGCCGGGATGGTCTCGATCTCCTGACCTCGTGATCCGCCCGCCTCGGCCTCCCAAAGTGCTGGTTTTTTTTTTTTTTGAGACAGAGTCTCGCACTGTCATCTGGGCTGGAGTGCAGTGGCGCAATCACGGCTCGCTGCAACCTCCACCTCCCAGGTTCAAGTGATTCTCCTGCCTCAGCCTCTCAAGTAGCTGGGATTACAGGCACCCACCACCACGCCCAGCTAATTTTTTGTAAGTTTTTTTAGTAGAGACGGGGTTTCACTATGTTGGCCAGGCTGGTTTTGAATGCTTGACCTCATGATCCACCCACCTTGGCCTCCCAAAGTTCTGGGATTACAGGCATGAGCCACTGTGCCCGGCCAACAAAGAACTTTTTATAATGTGCTCAAAGATGGGAGAGGAAATGCAAGACCACAGGGGCCCCAGTGTGAAATGACCTGCAGTGGTCGTGCCAAGGATGGCGATCTGCCTGGAGGCTACCCTCCACCGCACGACAGGACACCCAGAGCAAGGCACAGGCCCTACTGCGTGCCCGGCTTGGCCTGCCGTTCCCAGCAGTGCTGATGTCTGGATCTGTGCCCAGCTGCTGGGACTGTTAAGAAAGTAGGGGCTGTCTCCAGCATGCACATCTGTGTTGATACAAACAAGACTCAACTGGGTGCTGGAGGGAATCCATGCTCTCCAGTCCTGACTAAACATGGCTGTGGAGGGGTCATGCCAGCCGTAATGTGTAACATGACACATGGCCATGCAGGTCAGCTGGAGCCATAAAGTTGCTGGGACCATAAAGAGACAGTTGTCTTGTGCAGTGGCCTTTAGTGTGTTGGGCAACTTTCCCCTAAACCTGTGCAGATGGATACTGACCTCCGGCCTCCACACCTTGGCGTGCCATTCCACTGTGCCCAGCACTTGTTTCTGGGGCCAGACGCAGTGTCTCACGCCTGTAATCTCAGCACTTTTGGAGGCTGAGACAGGATGATCACTTAAGTCCAGGATTTCAAGACCAGACTGAGCAACATGACAAAACTCCATCTCTACTTTTTAAAAAAATTTAAAAACAAACAAACAAAAAACACTTGTATCTCCTATTGGATAAAGAGAGATGAGAGACAACAAACAGCTTAAAAATCACATAGTATGCCAGGTCTGCTGTTACCTTTGGCCCTGACTTTGGCTGGAACTTTGCCTCCTAAAGAGGCACTTGCTGCTGACGATGCTGGGCTTCCAGTGGAAACAGTTCTCACTCACTTAGCTCCTGCTTTGTTATGCTCTATTCCTTATTAAAACTTTTTCTTTTTTTTTTTGAGGAGTCTCACTCTCACTCGGTCGCCCAGGCCAGAGTGCAGTGGTGTGATCCTGGCTCACTGCAACCTCTGTCTCCCGGGTTCAAGTGATTCTCCTGCCTCAGCTTCCTGAGGAGCTGGGATTACAGGCGTGAGGTACAATGCCTGGCTAATTTTTGTATTTTAGTAGAGATGGAGTCCCACCATGTTGGTCAGACAGATCTCAAACTTCTGACCTCAAATGACCCACCCGCCTCAGCCTCCCAAAGTGCTGGGATTATAGGCATGAGCCACCATACCCAGCCCCATTAAAACTTTTAATAGGAGATAACTGAGAAAAACCTGTGAATTACTAATTTCAAAACGAGCAACTAGCGGAAACAATTGTTTTCTCAATTCCACCACCCAGAGACCCTGCCGGGAATAGAACTATGTTTTCAGTCCTCTCCGGTTCTCCTTTATCCTGGTCTTCATCTGTCCGTTTCTCTCTTTCTCTCCCTTTCTGTTTCATTTCTCTCCTTCTCAACCTTTCCGTACATATATTTACATTTTTATATCAAATGGAATCTCACTGCACCGTATTCTCTGTAACCTGCTTGTATTCACTACTCAAAATGTCTTCCTTTGAAATTATATCACGCACTATTGCTTATACACAGGTAAAACAGCTATGAGCAGGTGTATGAACAGACAAAGAGTGTTCATAAAGGAATCGGTCAAAAGGGAACTGTGTAAATGCATAGCGCCGAGGTTGGTGATTGTGTGGGCACCCAGCTCTACATTTGTGGGCATCTGGAACACCGTGAGGGACAACCCAAGTGTGTTGAGGAGATCAGAACAGCAACGGGTCACCACCAGCTCACATGCAGCTGCCCAAAGAGCTGAGATCTCCAGAAAGTTTCTCTCTCACAAATGCAGATGTACACAAAGGACATCTCCTTATTTATTCAGGAAGTTTCAACACCTTTCCATACAGCACGATGCTTGTACACTAAGTCAATGTTGCAGGAATGCAGTTTTGTGGAGTCAAATTTGCAAAAACGGCATAATATGAATTAGAAGTCTTCACACAATTTATACCTCCAGTATTAGAAATGATGTGAAGAAGAAATACTTAGTAAATTCTTTTTTTTTTTTTTTTTTTTGAGACAGAGTCTCGCTCTGTTGCCCAGGCTGGAGTGCAGTGGTGCCATCTCGGCTCATTGCAAGCTCTGCCTCCCAGGTTCATGCCATTCTCCTGCCTCAGCCTCCCAAGCAGCTGGGACTACAGGCGTCCACCACCATGCCCAGCTATTTTTTTGTATTTTTAGTAGAGACGGGGTTTCACCATGTTGGCCAGGATGGTCTCGATCTCTTGACCTCGTGATCCACCCGCCTCGGCCTCCCAAAGTGCTGGGATTACAGGCGTGAGCCACCGCGCCCAGCCTCAATGCATAGTAAATTCTAATAAATAATGCAGACAACCAAAGAGAGTGGGAAAAGAAAACTAAACATAGAAACAAAAACGGAAAAACTAAAAATAAATTGACACATGAAAAAGCATATGACAGGAATGGGCAATGGGCAATTGCATGGAGACAACCCATTAGATCTGGCTGACTTTCAGGGCCATGAGCTGTGTTTTGAAGTCTTGCATCTCAATGAGTGGCTGCTTTTTGCTTTTAGGACATGGCTCTCCTTGGAGAATATGTTCACATTCATTTTCTATGTGGCACTGCTCTTTTTGAAATCCTATGATTCGACGTTCACTGACATGAAAATCCCCTATTAAATTTTCCCATCTTCTGTCCCATGCTTTTACATTGCTTTGGATACCTGGACATCCATGATGCCTGCACTCATCTACAGGCCGCAGATTTGGTGGAAACAATGCTATTGATCAAACAGCAGCATCATTATGTAAGCATCCTCTCACCCTACCCTGAATATGATTATTTTTGAGCCAGTTGGTAACTTCACTGGCTTCTGCAGGCAAATGTGGCTTTAATTCATGAAGAGCTCCTGGAGTGTCATTGGCTGGAAAGAACGCCAATGCAGGCAAATGATGACTGGCTGGAAGGAACGCCAATGCAGGCAAATGACGACTGGCTGGAAGGAACGCCAATGCAGGCAAATGACGACTGGCTGGAAGGAATGCCAACGCAGGCAAATGACGCATTTTTAAAGTGAAGTTTCCTCATTGCCGTATCATGTGGCCAATCCACTCAGCTGGCTTTCCAGCCCAATGCACTGGACTGAACATAAAAAACAAACTTTATTGGTCACCCCTTAAAATTTGCTTTTAAAGGCTTTGATCACACCTAATTTCAAATCTGTCATTATGATTTGGAGATTCAATTAGATGTTAGGGATTTTAGACTTTTAGAATTTAGACTTTAGGAATTTTAATCTTTCAAGATTTCAACATTTGGGATTATGGCATTCAGGATTTTGTCTTTAGGGATTATGATTGGCACCACTTATTATTAGTAATGTATGACTTGGTGTTTTATATTTTTAAATTGCATGTGAATGGAGTTATGCTGCATAATTATAGTGTAATTGTTGGCAATTTGCTTTTGACTAAACATTATATCCCACAGATTCATTCATGTTGCTCTGGGTCACTGTAATTCATTAATTTTTACTGCATGATAGTATTTTGTTATGCTAATATACGGGAATTGATTCATCCATTCTACTCCATGCACATTTTGGTTGTTTCCACTTATGTATTTTTACAAACTCTGTTTCTGTGATATTGTACCTGTCACCTCACGCTCGCCTGCAATAGTTTCTCTAGGTCCCACAGCTTGGAGTGCAATGGCTACATCAAAGTCCAGGTCCTCCAAGTGTTAGGAGATGCGGCCACCCTGTGCTGTAGTCAAGTGTGCAGATTTCCTCTCCCACCCACAGCACACAAGTGTTTTCTTGTTCCACATCCTTTATAACTCCAAGTATTGTCAGACGTTGCACATTTTGGCAGTCTGATGGATGTGAAGTAGTATCTCACTGTGGTTTTTGTTTTTATTTCTATGATTTCAATTGGCAAACATTTTCATGTGTTTATTGGATTATCCATTTTTGCCTTTAAGTTCATATTCAAATTTTATGCCCATTTTGTATGAGCTTGTCTTTGGCTTTTTGTAGGACTAATTTAGGTATTATGATTCCAATCTATGTCAGTTACATGTGTGGTAAATATTTTATCTCCTTTTGTGCCTCGTTTATTTCACTGTCTTTATGGTGTCTTTTAGTGAATGGAAGTTATGAATTTCATTGTAGTTGCATATATCAATCTTTTCTCTGTTTCTTTATCTCCTGTTTAATAAGCCGTTCCCTTTTCTGAGGCCATAAATATAAATTCCAAATTATGTTCTAATAGTGTATTCTGTCTTTCACTTTGATTATCTTAATTATTGTGTATAGTTCAAAGGAAGGATAGAATTTCACTGTATTTTTTCCTAGGGCTAACCAAGTGTCTCACTGCTATTTGTTGAAGTCCATCCTTTCCCCCACTGATCTGCAAAGTTAATTCTGTCTTAAATAATACTTCCATAATGCCCTGAGTCTGTTTCTGAAGTTTTTCTTGTTTTGCATTAGTTGATTTTACTTGTCCTATACCAATACTTTGCTATAATAATTTCCTGCATAAAAGTTTTGCACATTTTTTGTATATTAATTCCTAGGTACTGCTTTGATTTTGTCTTCTTTTTTAAAAATTACAGCTTTATGCTAAGTCTTTCCTAAGAAATTTTCCTCTAACAAAGAGAATTGGCTTGCCAAAGTCACACTCCTATCCAGGAAGCAGTCCCTATTTGAAACTGGGCAATGTAAGAGTATAAGACACAGCCCCCTTTCTCAAGTTAGGGAAATTCTGAGGATCCATCTCAGGTCCAGAAACCCAGTGGGACGAGCTGATGCCTCACTTGCAACTGCATCCCATTTTTACTTCTTTCTTTGCCCAATCTTGCTTCCCTAATTCTCTTACAGATGCTGTTCATAAGAGCACTGCCCAGTAACTTCCTTCTTATATAGTTCTATCTGAAGGCCAATTTCCTGTTAAATTTGTCTAAAACATCATGTATTTTAAGATTATTTCATATGGATTTTTAGAAATATCCAGTGTCAAAACCTTTGTCTTTTAAATGTAAAATTTAATGCATTTGCATTTATTGTAATTATTGATATATTTGAGTTATTTCTGTATTACTTAATATTTTTATTTGTCCCATTTCCCATACCTTTTTTCTCTTTTATTGTCTGTTTCATGTTTTTAAATTTACTTTTTTCTCTAATAGTTTAGAGGTACTATACTGATTTTTATTATTTCTGTGGTTGTATTATAGATCTTAAGGTTTTAGTCAGAATTCTCCAGAGAGAAGAGGTTTATTGTGGGAATTGGCTCCCTTGATTATGAAGGCTGAGACCAACAATAGGCTGTAGGTTTATCTGCAAGCTTAAGAATTAGGAATGCCAGGCTCCTGGCTCAATCCAAGCCTGAAGGCCTCAGGACCAAGGAAGTAATGATGTAACTCTCAGTCCACGTCTGAAGACTCAAGAGCCTGACCACTGCTTGTGTGAGTCTCAGATTCCAAAAGCCAGAGAGCTTGGAATTCTGGTTTGCAAGGGCAAAGAAGGGTGTCCCAGAAGTGAGAGAGCAAAAATGCGGCCTCGCTCTGCCTTTGTCTTCCATCTGGACTCCCACTCGATTTGATGGTGCCCACCCACACTGAGGAGGATGTTCCCCACTCAGTCCCCCAAGTCACACACCAGTCTCCAGAAACACCCTCACGGACACACCTGGGGCAGCCCAGTCTTTCCAATCCAGGGCCAGTTCACCTGGGTTTCCCTTGCAGGGGGAGGAGGATAGGCTCAGAGTCTGCTGATGCGCTGAGGAAAGTGAACGCTTTACCAGCTATCAGGGCACCCCTAATCCAGTCAGACTGGCACTCAAAATCAACCACTGCAAAATTTAATACATCAGTACTTAAAGTCATATATTCTATTTAGCAAGGTTCCGGAACTAAAATTTCTCAACAAACTTACGTTATCCCATCTCCCAAATTACAAGCTAATCTTGGGTCTATTCGTTCTATCTTTTCTGGCCCCCTAAAACATTATTTATGGTGTTTGACTAGATACATTCAAATATTTATCATATTATTTGCTTAATTTCTTTTTTCATCACAGAACTTTTATCACCCTTTCTCTGTAGATTCTTTGAAAACCATTTAAGTGCTCACAGTAAAGCCTCCATTTTGATTTGTGTCCATCACTTCCCACCCACATCATAACAGCTTTCTAATCCTTCTACCCGTATCCCCTCTTGGTCCCTACAATCTCTCTCTATACCTATATCTTATATCTATATACACACGCACATACATACACACACTTACGTCTCTATACATATATGTGCATACACATATCTCAGTATAGATATGTACGTATATGTGTGTGTGTGTGTGTGTGTGTGTGTGTGTGTGTGTATTCCAGTAATTTTAGTGTTTTTTTTTTAGTGGTAGGATTAATCAGGTTTTTTCGCTTTGCTGGAAAAAGAAAATGTTATTTTATCTCATATGGTTATTTTAGTGTTGGCGTGAGCTAGAACTCTAAATCTATTATCATCTCAAACCATTCATTTCTTATCAATTGTAGATTATTATACTTTTTAAATGATGCAATAAATTGTTATATACACTTGAACTTGGTTACTCTGCATTTTGTACATTATATTAACCTGAAAAGGAAGAAGTCAGCAAAGGCAATAAAAGTCAGAAGAAAGAAAATTCCCTAAAACAAATATAGGAAAGGCCAAACAAGTGTGAGATACACACACAGATACACACACATATACACATACACACATAAACATAGGTCTTTATTTCTGCTACCTAATATTACAGAAAGCATTTAGGATTAAAGTTATATTCCTTTAAAAAACCTCAGTGTGTTAAGATCAAACTGGTAAAATAAATGAGGAACTCAGAGTAAAGAAATATCTCTAAGGTAGTAAACCACCCATTACATTTCCATATCCTTTACTTGTTCACTAATTATTTAACGAAGGGTGGAGGAAGAGAAATTTAGAATATTAAAATCAATTGATAATTTATGATCAAATAAATTAAATAAATAAGAATAAATATAAAGCCACATGAAACTGTAATGTAAGCCAGAATAACATAAGGTTTGCTATTGTAAGTATTTCATGTTATTCAACATTAAAGCAAACGCTGGTGTCACAAACCTTGTCATGGAGCTGGGACTGCAAGCGATTAGAAGAAACAAGGAGAATGTGGATGGCGTGACATTACAATTCCCTCTTTTTCTGGAAGCCAGCTTTCCCATCACTTCAACTCTTCCAGCAGAGACCCAGCCCTGAACGATGGGAAATACCTGGGCACCCTTGAGTTGGCACACCACTGAGTCCACGTGCCACCACCAGGGGCACTCCACCTCCCTTCACGGGAGGTCTTGATGAGAGTTCATTCCACACACAGTTGTGTAACATAGACTCAGCATAAAGCTTAGTTCCAGGACTTCTCAAATCACAGAAACAGAAAAACAACAGAATAACAGGGTGGTGGGAAGGTTTTGGAGACTGCCTCACTCTCTACAGTTAATTCAAGTGCAGAGACAGGAACAGCGATCTGAAAACGTGAAGAGCAAATGAGAGCAGAATGTGGGTGCAGCACAGTGCAAGAATAAGTGTTCAGATTCATCCCAAATCTCCATGAAAAGGACCAAATTATTTTCATGCCTTCAATTTAAAAAGCATAAGAAGGGCAAATTCTATTTTGTAAGACTTTTAAGTAAACACATGTAAAGTACATAAGGAATTTGGTTGTCAAAATGTAAACATTAATTCTCTAGAACTTCACTAGCCAATTTCATATTAAAATAATATCATTTTTAAAATCTACTAGGAACATTTTATACGTAAGTTCTTACAAACACACACAAGTGCAAATGACTTAAATAGCATACCTGTTCCTATTAGCTATTTGTGATGGATTGAGTCAATTTTTCAGTGACCAAATCAGTAATTATTACTTCCATAAAATAACATAAGTACTTTTTGCCCACTGACAGTTTACTGACAGAGAAAAAAGAAAGACTATGTAGTCTTCATCTCTTTGTGTAAGTTCAATAGATTTGTTCTAGCTGCCAGATAAGAACATAAGCATGAAGTAGAAAAATCAGAAATTTTTGAATGAGACCTGCTATCAAAATTCTATTCTCATTTTTTAAATTCAACGTTTAACTTGTGAAAATAGAAAACAAAATGCAAAGAAGAATCCATCTTTCCACATATTAAAATGTTATGATTTAAGTATAATTTGCCAGTGCTTATGCAATTTCATTACTGCTAATTCCATGGTCAACATCATAAAAAAGACTATTGAAGAGGAACAATGTCAGTTGCTAAACTGAGAGAAACAAATGTATAGAATGAGAAAGAAGCAGTCATCCAAAATTTGGCAATGAAATGATTATTTCAAGATGCAGTGTTTGTCAAACAGCTTAATAAACTTCAAAATTATTTGCAAATAAAATGTTAAGGGAATACCAAGTTAGAGAACACATGCATCCAGGCACAGGAAGATGCCAATTTCATGGATGAACCATTGACTCTAACAAATTAATTTAATTAACATTTCAACCATGTCGGTAACAATGGCTCAATTTATTTCAAGAATTGTTTCCTCCAATTTGTATATTATAAAATGACTTTACACAGTTCCATCTGGTTATTCAATCTTTTTATACATCTCATGCCATTAGTGTGCTTTGCCCTCCGAAGATGCTGGAGATCTTGAAACCAAGTGGGTGGTGGGTTGGAAGGAAAAGTCCAAGCTTCCACATGTAGATGGAACTGGATCACAGTAAGTCATATCTCACTGGAGTAACTAAAGTCTTATTCAAGATTATATCATTAGCTACGTTGAAATGGACACAACATCTAACAAGAAAAAGAAAGAACAGAGCAAGAGTAATCATTGTGGCTAGTTACTAAATAGTTGCAAGATGGTAGGTATTTTCACATAGGGCCACCTCCTTGAATTCTCACAACAGTAATGCAACATAGGCATTATTATCTCATCTTCCCATATTGTTTTTAAATCAACATTACTGAGGGAGAATGTGCATACAGTACAATGCTTTCATTTTAAATACAGAGTTTGACATGTCTTGACAAATGATGCGTATATGTAACCTCCAACACAATTAAGATAGAAAAAATTTCGATTGCCTCAAAAATAAGAATTTCCCCTCTGCCTCTTCACAGTCAATCCTCATTCTATTCTCTTGGCCCAGGAAACCACTGATACTATTTATGTCACAACAGATTAGAGTTGACCTTCTTTGAGTATTACTTTTCATTTCCATCTTGCTTCTTTTGGTCGTTATGATGATTTCCAAAAGTATTGAGGTTGTTCTATGTATCAATATATTGTTCATCCTTTTGAATAGTATTCCATTCTTTTACTCCAACACAATTTATTTATCCATTCAACTGTTGATGGGCATTGGGCTGCTTCCAATTTAACTCATATCAACAAAGCTGATGTGGGTATTTCTATACACATCTTTGGATGGATCTTGCTTTCATTTCTGTTGATTAAAGATGTAGGAATGCCATGGCTGGGTCATATTTTAGGTGTATTTTTCACTCTGTAATAAACTGCCAACATAATTTCCAAAGTGTTTGCACTAATTTACATTCTTACTAGGAATGAATGAAAATTTTAGTTGCTTATTATAACTACACCGACACTTAGAATTGTCAGGGTTTTTTACTATTATCCATTGTGGTTGGTTTGAGGTGATATATCATTGTGCTTTCATATTTGCATTTTCCTGGTAAATAATGCTGTTGATTTCATGTGGTTATTTTCCATTTATATATCTTCTGTCATAAATCATTTGTTTAAATTTTTCTCTTCTTTGTTGGTTGTTCTGTCTTCTTATTCTTTTGCTGTGTGATTTTTTTCACCCATCCTGGATAAGTCCTTTTGTTGATGTGTTGGAAGACAAAGGAAAAACAGTTTTAAAGTAAAGAGCAAGGAGCTGAAAAAATTTTAATAAAAAAGATTTAATAAAAATTTTAAAAGAAATTTCTATTAAATTTAATAAAAAATTAATAGAACTAACATTATTTCAGAAATGCAATAGATCCCTATTGTATATTAGGGATATAGAAGCAATATATTTCCAAATCCTTTTGTGATATTGGAGATAGTGCTAGGATAGGAAAAGCTTTGGAGGAGGAATCCAAGAATCTAGAATCTAATTTCAAGAGAAAGCAACAAGGACTGGAGAACAGGAGGATGAACTGGAGACAGGCTAACCTGGACTTGAATCTGTGCCACTAGTTTTTGCTAGGGCAAATAACTTTTCTACATCTTAATGTCTTCTTTTAAAAAAGAGGGGAGAATATCTTTTTGGGTTTGTATAAACATGAGAAATAATGCATGCAAAACACCAAATGCCTACTGGGTCCTTAATAAATGGCAGATCTTACTTACCTAATTGTGCCTTTTAACCATCTATAGAGATTGAACTAATTTATGATCAAGGTCCTTTCCACTTCAAAATTTCACCATTCTGCAGGTGGAACTTACTGAGATGCATAAAGAACAGGGCAGTGAACGATGTTTAGTTACATGAGCTAAAAGTTTCCAGAGGCAACCGACTCAGTAAATAAGAATGGCTTGAGGAAACCCCAACCCCAAAAGTGGTTTTATTTTCCATATTCTTAAGTTTCTAAGATACTTAAACAACATATTTGTACATTCATCTAATATTGTATACATGCAAAATGGAGAACAAAGTTTAAAAATTATGTTTTTCAGCAGAGAATAAATTAAAAAGAAAGAGCTAAAATATGTTTCATCTAGAAATGGCCATCATGGTGTCGTTACACTGACTTTCCCTACACTTTTGCAATGCCTTTACCATCCTTGCTGGGTTTTCTTGGATTTCTTACTGTTAATTTACTTACGGTTTAGAGGCATGCTTTGTGCTTTGTAACCACCAAAGCGAAATGTAAACTACATTTTTCCTTAAAGGGAAATAATGAAACTTAAAACAAAACAACACAAGGATGAAACTCACTTTAGGTGTTAAATCCTAAACGTTTTACAGATTAAAAAATGAAGCATTAAAACATCGCAACCTAAGAAATAAAATTCATAATTCAATTTTAACATTTAAATCCACATAAATAACTTCAATATGAAGAATCAATTATATAAAAGTACTATATGGAAAGTAATGCGAAAGTCTCTGAAGCAGCAGATCCCACACCTCCACCCACAGAACAGAGATGGTCTTAGTAATGACACTCAGGTCTGCAGCAGAAGATCCCACACCTCCACCCACAGAACAGAGATGGCCTTAGTAATGACACTCAGGTCTGAAGCAGAAGATCCCACATCGCCACCAAGAGAACAGAGATGGTCTTAGTAATGACACTCAGGTCTGAAGCAGAAGATCCCACACCGCCACCCACAGAACAGAGATGGCCTTAGTAGTGACACTCAGGTAAAGCAGTCATTTTGTGCTTTAGTTTAAGTTTGTTCTCTTTTTCTTCCAGTCTTCTGGGACCTCAGATTCACTTTACTTTATTAAGGGTGATACTGCTTAGATAGTTGCATAAGTTTTACTTAATAACATTTATAAATGCCATTATACTAATTAGAAGGCAAAGTCCTGGCCAGTATAGAACTATTTTTTAGAGGATAATATTGTTTTTTGTCTTTAAAGTACTCACAATATAGTTGAGAGTGATAGTAAAAAGAAAAGAAAACATATGGGAAGTTAAACAGCAATAAAATCTTTCAATATAAATCTACTAATGCATGATTAAGTGCCAAAGGAATTACTTTCACCAAAATCTGTGACATATCTGCAGCTGAAAACGCAGCACAAAGTCAGAGAACATGAAGCCACTTCTGGGCTCTCCCTGCAGAGTCCAGGCAAGTATTCTGAGATTACACAAAAGGCATAAGAAGGTTGAATATTTTGATTCACTATTTAAAAAATCTAAAAAGAATGTGTAAAGTATTAACATATAAACTCTATTTGTTTCAAGGTTTTTCACAAAAAATATCAATAATGGATACATTGAAATTTTCTGCAACTATTCAAACCTATATAAATTTAATTTGAATGAATGTCCCAGAAGAAGTCTATGAGTTCTTGGTTGCTCCAAACTTAATAATTCACATAGCCAGACCATATAACTTTTCCCAAGTGCTTTTTATTTCATAGGAAGCTACAAGCATGTCACTTGGGAAAACGGAGAGGATACCGTTAGGTCAGTAAAGCATCTGCTGCAGCAAGACTTCACCATTCAAGCCACAATATGCAGTGTTCGATTTTTCCCTGCTACACTTAATCGATAATGTCGTTTTATGTCTTTGTTTTAATTACTCTGATTTCCATTAAGTCCTGTGAGTCCAGAGTGTGGATGCTTGCAGCACCCTAGCTGAGCAATTCCAGAGAATTCTGAGGATTTTTGTGATGCTCCCATTTCAATTTGTGAATAATAACTCAAAGAGGTTATTTTAAAAAGAAGTAATAACAATAATGAGGTATGTAAAATGATTGTACCTCATTTATTATTTTCAGTATTATAGTGTATGAGTAAAAATATATATGTATATTAGAATATCTTCAGATTATTTTGTTCCATATATATTAATGACAATGCACCCAAAACTATAAGGAAATAATGTTCTTTGCAGTTTACAGCATAATATAAATTTTAAATAATATAACATTCCCAGAAGTTTCCTAGAATGCACTGAGTATTTTTTTAAATACACCAGGTTGGGTTTGTTTTCTAATTGTTATCTCTAGATTAGCAATCACCAAATACCATTGAAAGAGACTGGCTTCTGGAACGTGAGACCTCAGTGAGCTTGCTTTCCAACGAAAACAGTGAAAATACTTGCAAAACAACTAAAATAAGCCAGTTCAGAATTCTGGTAATTCACCAAAGCAAAGAATGCGCTGAAAATTCTCTATCCAAAGGAAACCAGGAGGCTGGTGAAATAGATAGGTGGCACTGTCAGAGGCGTGTGAACCTGAGCAACTCCATCTTAAATAGGAGCTGGGTAAAACGAGGCTGAGACCTACTGGGCTGCATTCCCAGATGGTGAAGGCATTCTAAGTCACAGGATGAAATAAGAGGTCAGCACAAAATACAGACCACAAAGACCTTGCTGATAAAACAGGTTGCAGTAAAGGAGCCGGCCAAAACCCACCAAATCCAAAATGGCAACAAGAGTGACCTCTGGCTGTCCTCACTGCTACACTCCCACCAGCGCCATGACAGTTTACAAGTACCATGACAATGTCAGGAAGTTACCCTAATGGTTTAAAAAGAGGAGATAGGAATAATCCACCCCTTGTTTAGCATATCATCAAGAAATAGCCATAAAAATGGGCAACCAGCAGCTCTTGGGGCTGCTCTGTCTATGGAGTAGCCATTCTTTTATTCCTTTACTTTCTTCATAAACTTGCTTTATTATTATTATTATTATTATTATTATTATTATTATTATAATACTTTAAGTTCCAGGATACATGTGCAGAACGTGCAGGTTTGTTACATAGGTATACACGTGCCATGGTGGTTTGCTGACCCATCAACCCGTCATCTACATTAGGTATTTCTCCTAATGCTCTCCCTCCCCTAGCTCCCCACCCTGTGACAGGCCCCAGTGTGTGATGTTCCCCTCCTTGTGTCCATGTGTTCTCATTGTTCAACTCCCGTTTATGAGTGAGAACATGCGGTGTTTGGTTTTTTGTTCCTGTGTTAGTTTGCTGAGAATGATGGTTTCCAGCTTCATCCATGTCTCTGCAAAGGACATGAACTCATCCTTTTTTACTCTGCACTGTGGACTCACCCTGAATTCCTTCTTGTGTGAGATCCAAGAACCCTCTCCTGGGGTCTGGATCAGGACCCCAGAACTTTAATTTGGGGCTACATTCATTTTTCCTCCCTCCTTAGCCCATTTGTGGTAGTCAAAAGCTGGTAAAGAAATGTTACCAATTTCAATATTCCATTAAAAACAACATGCCCAGAACATAGTCAATATTTCACAGGAACTTGCAGCTCCCTGGGAAATCTCTATATTCAGTGTGGGGCTGTTACACTTGACTCTTAGCTCAGTTGGGGGTGTCTGGGGTTGAGAGGACAGAATGGAGAACCTAAAAGCATTACCAAAGCAATAGAAATAGACTTCAGTTGGGGCAAACTGAGAGCAGAAATTTAAACTGACCAGAAATTTAAAGGGAAATCCTGGATACGTATGAACATAGGAGAGCTGGGTGCCTGCAAGGCCGAGCATGTCTGCCAGACTGCGGGCACTCCTAGGACAGCTCTGGGGAGGAAGAAGGCAGGAGCCCCTCACCCCTGGCTGACCTCGAGGCCCTGTGCAAGCAGAAGGTAAAAGCAAAGGCTGTCTCATAAACTGCCTGACAATGGAAGGCAAAGCCTTCTCGCAGAGATGGCCCAAATGTACATGGAAGTCATGCCAGAAAACTGACCCATCGTTGATTGATCACTAAATTACACTGGCCTAGATATAAATCTTAGAAAGCCAAGCTTAAAAATGAAATGAAAAGCTTTAACAAAAGGCTGGGAGCTCAGTGTCCACATGCTGTAGGCACGGATGTCCAACCCTTTGAATATAAGGACTTGTTTGCTTATTTGCGGTGGTGGATATCATGAAAATCATGCACAAACCATTTTTTTTAAGCTCATCAGCTATGGCTAGTATTCGTGTATTTTATGTGTGGCTCAGGGAAGCCCAAAGGTTAGACACCCGTGGCAGGGGTTAGAGCTCTGCAAAAGTAGTCAGGCCAAGTCACTAAACAGACAACTAGCCACAAAGGAAATGAAAACAAATCTAACAACACAGCAAAACTCTGCAACAGCAAGAAACATTTGGGTGTGTGTAGAGAAATCTGATACTAGAATCGCCTCAATATATTATTATCTGAAATGTTCAGTTTTCAATAAAATTTACAAGATATGTAAATAAACAGGAGTATGCCACACACAGAGGATAAAAAGCAGCCAACAGAAAATGTTTCTAAATGCACCCAGATTTTAGACTAAATAGGCACAGGCTTTACAGCAGTTATTATAAATATGTACGAGCACCAAAAGAAACTCTGTCTAAAGAATTTTTAAAAGATTACAATGATATATTTCCAAAAAGAGAACATTAATAAATAGAAACTGTTTTAAAAGAATCAAATAGAAGTTCTGGAGTGAGTTGAAAACTGTGATAGGTGAAATAAAACATCCCTAGAGGGTCTTAACAACAGATCTGAGTCAGTAGAAGAAAAAACTGGAGAACTTGCATTTAAGTCAACACGTAGTATCTCATTTTAGGAGCAGAAAGAAGAAAAGAATGAAGGAAAAATAACAGACACTCAGACACCCGCAGAAAAACATGAATAGAATATACTTGACAGTCCAGAAATAAATCCTCGTATTTATGACGATTTTCAACAAGGGGGCCAAGAAAATTCAATGAGCAAAGAATTGTCTTTTCTAACAAATAGTGCTGGGAAAATTCGACTACTAATGTGAAAGAATGAAGGGATATCCCTACCTCATCATGCATCAAAAAGTAGCCAAGAATGGATAATAGACCTAAATGTAAGCACTGAAGCTGGAAAAACTCACAGGAGAAAACACATGGGTAAACCTTCATAATCTGGAGTTAGATAATGGTTTCTTAGGTACAGCACTGAAGCACAGTGACAATAAATAGATAATTTGGATTTTACTAAAATTTAGAAACTTTGTGCTTCAAGGGACACCATCAAAAAAGTAAAAAGACAGTATCTATCCACAGAATGGGACAAAATATTTGCAAATCACACCAGTAAGATACTTGTATCTAGAACACATAAAGATAACTCAATTTAAACTCAATTAAAAAAAATCCTAATCTCAAAAATGGGCAAATGATTTGAATGAACGTTTCTCCAAAGAAAATATGCAAATGCTCAATAAGCACATTGGAAGATGTGCTATGTCACTGTCCTGGGGAAATACAAACCGAAACTGCAGTGAAATACCCTTTCACACTCGCCAGGATGGACAAAATTAAAAAGTCAGACAATAGTAGGAGCTGGCGAGGAGGTGGAGAATTTGGAACCTTGCACTTCATTTGGGGAAATGTAAAATGTTACAGCCTTGTGGGAAAACAGTTGAGCAGTTCCTCAAACGGCCGAACACAAAGTTGATGAGCACTTTCACACCTGCTTGTGTATCCGAGAGAACTGGGTGCATATGTTCTGAAAAAACCTTGTGCATGAAGGTTCCTAGCACCATTACTCATGACAGGCCTGACTGGCAAAAGGGCCCAACGTGCATCAGCTGGTAAATAGGTAAAAAAACATGGTATATCCCTACCACAGAATGTTATCCACCGATAAAATAGCAGGTTCTGCTGTATGCGGCTGTGGGGATGACACTCGAAAGATGATGCTGAGTCACAGAAGTCTCAGCCGGGGGCGGTGGCTCACGCCTGTGATCCCAGCACTTTGGGAGGCCGAGGCTGGTGGATCACGAGGTCAGGAGATCGAGACCACCCTGGCTAACACGGTGAAACCCCGTCTCTACTAAAAATACAAAAAAATTAGCTAGGCGTGGTGGTGGGCTCCTGTAGTCCCAGCTACTCGGGAGGCTGAGGCAGAAGAATCACTTGAACCCGTGAGGCGGAGGTTGCGGTGAACCGAGATTGCACCATTGCATCCATTGCATTCCAGCCTGGGTGACAAGAGTGAGATTCTGTCTCAAAAAATTAAAAAATAAAAAAGTCTCACACTGCAGGGCTATGTGTGTGGAATGCTCAGAGAAGACGAATCCAGAGAGACATGGAGCAGATCATTGGCTGCCAGGCCTGAAGTCGGTGGGGAGAGCAGCCATGGTGGACCCTAATGGGTGTGAGGCTTCTTACTGGGGTGCTGAAAGTGTAAGTCTGTGAATGAACTAAAATATCCCTGAACTGACCACCTCAAATGGTGCATTTTGTGGTATATCTTAATAAGGTTCCAAAAATGTGAGAAACACTTGATTCTCCATTAAGCTATTGCAAATGACCCTAATATATAATGTAAAGTTACTAACACATCAAGATGTCAAAAAGAATAATGTCAAATAATCCAATGAACAAAAGGAAATATTTAAACATTAAATAAACTAAGACTTTTCTATTTACCCGTAAATAATGGTGCAGTGCACTGGACGGGCACAGTGACTCCTCTGCACCGTAGCTCGGACCATTGCCAGTATGAACATGATGAATGTGTATCTAGCTTAGAGCTCACCTCACTTTGTCTATTTCTTTCTACTGTTCTGTTATTACCACATACACAGCCAATTACACTGAGAAGCTCTGTCTCTTCCCTCTGCTTCCTTCTGCCTTTCCGTCCTCTACACATCGTGCCGTTCTATTTCTACTGCACCTGCTCCATTTCAGACTCTTAGTGTGATAATTCAGCAGCTTGTTTCCCTGCCTCTAGGTCCTCTCCCATCAGTCCATCTTTTACTTCTTAACCAGAATTATTCTTTCAAGACAGAAGTGTCAGCGTGATCACCAGATTTAATAACTTGAATGGCTCTCTGCTTCTAATAAAATAAATCACACACCTGCAGACCAGTATGTAGCAGCACGGGGGATGACTACAGCTGGGATCAGAGCGACCTGGCTTCCATCCGGTTTCTCCACCAGCACTAGCGCTGTGATCTCAGGGAAGGTACCCCACCTTTCTGGATGTTTCCTTGCTTACACGACCAGTATAATAATGCCTAAGCAGAAGATCCAAATAAGATCATGCAAATTATCTATCAGATTATCAATAAATTAATCATTTAAAAGATTAATATGCTCATATAATAGTATCCACAGGCCTTCACAATTTAACCTACTCCCAACCTCATGGATTTCACCTCCTGAAGACGACGCTTTATCCACAGTTGAGTACTGACATTTCTTGTATGGTACAAGTTTCCATCACTCAAATTCAGCAAAGCATGATTAATTGATTAGAGAACACGACTGGCATTTGACATTCATCCACCTTTGCCCGGGAAACTCCTGATTGAGGCCTGTGGTCCCACAGTAACAATCCTTTTTCCAGTTTTGAAAGTATCCTGGTTTGATGGAAATAATTATATGGTACAAACTCCATTGTGTTGGAAAGCTGAAGTGGAAAAGACAGGGTTCGCAGAGCTCCTTTTTTGAGAGAACAGCTATCTGGTGCCATCTGGTTCTTTTCTTCTTTTGTTTACCACTGGAATTTGTGAATTCTTCTGCAGTAAACTTGCAAGGTCAAGGTCAAAAATAGCAGGAGTCCCAGGCACCCGGGTATGCAGAATGAAAGACAACAGAAGCTTTTAGGGGGCTTTTTGGTTCTTTTTTTAAAATCAACACAATTATGATTTCACTGTACATAAATGCAGCTTAAAGCTACTTAGAATATTTATTATTAAAATACTTGTGGGAAGTTACTTTGATAAACTCTCTAAAGCTAGTCTCTTGTATGTCATTGAAACATACTGCTTTGATGAATTAAGCTTTGTTAGAAACTCAGCTGTCCCTTTATAGCTGAAGTGAGGGGCACAATCACAGCTTTCTGCAGCCTTGGCCTCCTGGGCTCAAGTGATCCTCCCACCTCAGCCTACTGAGTAGCTGAGACCACAGGCATGAGCTAATTTTTATTTTAATATTATTTTATAAAATATTTTTTTATTTTTGTTTTTATAATATAATAATGCCTAGCTAATTTTTATTTTTATTTTTATTTTGTAGATATGGGAGTCTCCCTATGTTCTCCTGGCTGGTTTTGAACTCCTGGGCTCAAGTGATCCTCC
Source organism: Homo sapiens (assembly GCF_000001405.40). Lineage (NCBI taxonomy): Eukaryota > Metazoa > Chordata > Mammalia > Primates > Hominidae > Homo > Homo sapiens. The sequence goes on along the minus strand of NW_004166862.2, from coordinate 7,877 downwards.
CTCCTCAACCTCCCAACGTGCTGGGATGACAGGCGTGAGCTGCTGCACCTGGCCCAGATTATTTACTTTTTTCTCAGAAAACCATGCGTTTTATTCCTTGTTCATGAAATGTTCTGCATTGTCTCCAAACATCAAAATCTCATCCCAGAACAGATGTCAATTCTTCCATGAAGCTTTTCCTAATCCCAAATCACCTCCCCCACAACCAGAAGAATTTCTCCTCCCTTCCATGCAACTGTTTTCTCAGCCATCTCGACGGCATTCATTCATCCACTCACTTGTTCTTCCAAAAATGCTGATTTCTTCCTGTGGTTTGGAAAGTTCAGCGCTGTCCCTGTGTGCCATGCCCCGCCTTTCCAGTCCACAGGCTGACTCACAGCGACGAACCGTGTGTGTTGGTTGCAGAAACCGACTGGCGGGAAGGTGACAGAAAAGAAAGATGTGTGACTCCTGACACCTACAAGTTCATAGTCTAATCGAGGTGCCCAAACCCAGCCTCTAGAAAGAACTGTTGAAATTGCAGTCATTTTCCATAGGTACAGAGGGAGATGAAGACGGCAGGGTTGGGGTCCCAGAGAAGGGAAAGTGGTATTTAGGGCACTCTTCCCGTGAAGCCTGGGCTTCCTTGGAGGATGGGGAGTGGAGACAGGAGACAGCACTGCACCAGGCCAGGTCAGGGCGCATGCGAAGCAAAGTCAGCGCGAGTGTGCCACACCCACACCCACTGTGAAGGTTTACGTCTCACAAAAGCAACACGAAGCCAGTGAAATATCGCAGTAGGGCTGGCAAGACAAAATCCACAGTTTTGAGAAGACCCGTGGGTGTGCATGGTGTGCAGGGGACTTGGGGCGGGGGGGAGGTGAGAGGCAGGAAGAATACTGAGAAATCTGTAATCATAGTCCGATCCTTCAGTTGACAGTTGATCGAAACTTCCTTTAGGTAATTCATAAAAGCGTAAATTTGAGGGTGTGGCTCTATTCCTGTGTCACAGATTATTAGTAAATGCTAGGCATTGAAAACACTTAAAATCAATGATTATTCAGATTATTCGCACACTTATTAATTGGGTGGTGTTCTTGCTATTGAGTAGATCGAATTCCTTGTCTATTTTGGATATGAACCCCCTATCAGATGTATGGCTTCAAATATCTCCCACTCTATAGGCTGTCTCTTCATTCTTTACTTGTTCCCTTTGCTGTGAAGAAGCTTTTAATTTGGATGCAATTCCATTTGTCTATTTTTGCTTTTGTTGCCTGTCTTTTGGGGTCATATTCAAAGACTCTGCCCAGAGCAATGTCATGAAGCTTTTTCCCTTGTTTTTTTCTAGGAGTTTTACATTGGCAGGTCTTACGTTTAAGTCACTGATACACTTCAAGCTAATTTTGTATCTAGTGTGAGATTGGCATCCACTCCTACTCTCCTGCCATGGACATCCAGTTGCCCAACACTATTGAGGAAACTATCATTTCTCCATTGTGTATTCTTAGCAATTTCTCAAAGATCAACTGACCATAAAAATGTGGATTTATTTCTGGGCTCCCTACACTGCTCCAGTGGTCAATGCGTCTGTTTTTATGCCAGCACCATGCTGTTTGGATGGCAGTGGCTGTCTAGCACATGTTGAAATCAGGCAGTGTGATGACTCCAGCTTTGTTCTTCTTGCTCAGATTCAACTTTAGCTATGTGGGACTTTTTTTGTAGTTCCATAGGAATTTTAAGATTCCTTTTTTATATTTTTGTGAAAACACATCATTGGGCTTTTGATAAACATTGCATTAAATCTATAAGTTCCTTTGGGTAGTATGGACTTTTTTAAAATAGCATTTTTTCTAATACATGAATGTAAGCTATCTTTTCATTGATTTCCAACTTTGATTTTTTTTAATCAGTGTTTTATAGTTTCAGTGCATAAAACTTTCACCTTCTTGGTTAAATTTATTTCAAAATATTTTTAATTTTTGCTATTGTAACTGGGATTGTTTCCTTAATTTCTTTTGTGGCTAGACTGATTTCTACATGTTGATTTTCTATCTTGCAAACTTACCAAATTTGTTTATTATTTATAGCAGGTTTTTGACAGAGTCTTTAGGGTTTTCTACATATAAGATTATGCCATGGGCAAACAGAGACAATGTAACATCTTTTTTCTCAATTTGGGTTTCATTAATTCCTTTTTCTTGCCTAATTGTTTTGGCTAGGACTTCCAATGCTGTGTTGAGTAGATGTGGTGAGTGTGGGGATTCTTGTCTTATTCCTGATCTTAGAGGAAAGTCCATCAGCTTTTCATGGATGAACGTCATGTTATCCAAGTGTTTGTTAATATGGTCTTTATTGTGTTGAGGTGCATTCCTTCTACACCTAAGTTGTTGAGGGCTTTTAATCATGAAAGGATGTTGAATTTTACCAAACGCTTTTTCTGAATCTGCTGTGATCATCACATGATTTTAGTCCTTCATCTTGTGTTTTTGGCATATCAGCTCAGTAGCAAAAATGCAAATAACCCAATTAAAATGCGGACAAAGAACATGAACAAACACTTCTCAAAAGAAGATATACAAATGGTCAACAGGTACATTTTTGAATACTCAACATCTCTCATCATTAGGGACATATAGATTAAAACCACAATAAAATATCATCTCACTGAAGTCAGAATGACCATTCTCAAAAAAGTTAAATGTTAGTGAAGGCATGGAAGAAAGAGAACTCTTACACACTGCGGATGCAACTGTACGTTAGTCCAGCCATTATGGTGATCACTATGGAGGATCCTCAAAAAATTAAAACTAGAACTACCATATAGTCCCACAGCCTGACCTCTGGATATGTATCTCCATAGGAATTGAAATCAATGCATTGAGGAGATATCTACATCCCCATGTTCACTGCAACACTGTTCACAATGACCACAACCTGGAATCCACCTAAGTGTCCATCACAGATGAATGGATAAAGAAAAGGTAGTACATACATACAATGAAATATTATGCAGCCTTAAAAAAGAGTGAAATCCTGTCATTTGCCACAATATGAACAAACCTGGAGGACATTATGTTAAGCGAAATAAGCCAGGCACAGAAAGACAAATGCTGCATAATCTCACTTATAAATGGAATCTAAAAAAGTCAAACTCAGAGGCAGAGAGTAGGGCCTGGGTGAAGGCAGTGGCTACATGGGAAAAGGGGAGATGTTGGTCAAAGGGAACAGAGTTTCAGTGAGACAGGAGGAGTAAGTCGTGATCTCCATACAGCATGGTGACCATAATTAATAATAATGTATTGGATATTTGAAAATTGCTAAGAAAGAATATTTTAAATGTTCTCACAAGACAAAGTCATAGTATATGGATGATAGATATGTTAATTCACTTGATTTAATCATTTCACAATGTACACACGTATTGGAACATCGCATTGTACATTATAAGTATATATAATTTTTATTTGTCAATTGTACTTCAATACAGCTGAAAAAAACTGATGAATTTGAGTTAGCACATGTTTTAGTACAGCAAGCTCAATGGTGAAGTCATCAACTGGATATTTATTTTTGAAAGCATATTTACATAAGGGCTTAGCTATGGCAAAGTAAAATATAAAAGGTTGCCTAAGAAAATTCTAATAAGAGGCATTTTACAGAAAGCCTTTAGAGCAGAGTGCGCCCATGCACACACACACACTCTCTCTCTCTCTCTCGATATCTATCCATCCATCTCTCATCATCTGTCTGTCTCTATACCAGATCACTATTCATCTGTCATACAGACATGTACACATGTCTTAAGAAAAGTTACCCATTTTGTAAACCCTCTCAGCCCTCTGAACCCCAGTTCCACTAAAATCATATTAAGTCACTTGCTGTCACACCGTGCCAAATTACAACACATTTTCCAAAAGACGAATGAGAAGCTAGGCATCAGGTCCCAAGGATGCCACCTCGTACTTACCAGGTGGAATCTCAGCTCACTGCCAACTTCATCTGCGGAAAAGCTGCGACATCACGGCAAATCAAAGGGTGATTTCTGGGGCTGTCTAGGGAGGTGTGGGCTGCGGGCAGGAATGTGCTTCAAAATATCTGGGGAGTTGAGAACCTGGGCAAGGGCAAGGGACAGCAGATGAAACCAGAGCCAGCGGGTGGGGACGTTCGGTGAAACAAAACTGGCCTTGCCTCAATAATTGTTGCAGCCAGGTGAGGAGAACATGGAGGGAATCACAGGTCTCCACTGGTACATGTGTTTGGAATTTTTAATAAGTTCAGATGGCAGTAGGGGAGAGAGAGGGTGGAGGAGTGAATAAGAGAGAGAGAGGAAAAAAAGACGTAAGAAGAGGGAGGGAAAGGGAAAGGGAGAGTGAAAGAGGGAGAGAGAGAGAGAGAAAGAGAGAGAGAGAGATAAGAGAGAAAGGGAATGAGAGAGCAAACTCTGTCATACCCCTGCAAGCAAGGTGCTAACTTAGAACCTTCAGGGAAGGTTAGAGCAGTAGGAAAACATATATATATTTCTGTGATTTAAAAATAAATTGTGTGTTGTAATTGAGTATTGCAAGTATTGCATACAACTGCAGTTGTTTGTAATCAGATATCTGCCTGCTCTGGAGAAGTATAACCCTGTTTCACAGGTCACACTGTAGAACACTCACGCAGGAAATGCTGACAACCGAGCTGTCCATCACCTTGCAGCCGGGGGATAGAGGGGCAGGTGGCTGGGGGATTGACAGGCAGCTGGCTGCGCCCTCCCTGCCTGTGGCTCTCTCCTTCCCTCCCTGGGCTAGCCTTACCTGTACCTTCAGGGCATGTTCTTTCCACAGGTGTGTCTGGATTTTTCATATTTTCCCAACTTTAAAACCAATGCTTCACAGATGTCCTGTTCAGCGTTTTTGCTTTTTCCAATTACCCATCACACCCTGTTTCTTCAGTCAAGAATGGTGAGAGTTCATCAGCGTGAAGGTGCTCAGCACTGTGTGTAGACATCAACTTGCACAGTCTTTTTTCTAATACCCGCCTTGCGAAGGAATATTGCCTTGCAGACCACGTTCCTGGCTAACACCCTCACCACCTCTGCCACCGCACCATCGATGTGCCAAGCTTCTGCAGGCCTCATGCATCTCTATCGGCTGGGCTCTCACTCATATTTACAGGCAGCAATTCCAATCACAGAAACCGTCGGTCGGCCAGGGCTGCCTTGACAAGCACCACAGACTGCATGGTTTAACCACAGACACGGAGGCTGGAGGCTGAGACCTGGGTGTGGGCAGGTTGGTTTTCCAGGGGGTTCTCCTTGGCTTGCAGATGGTGCCTTCGTGCTGTGCCTTCCCATGGTCATCCCTCGGTGCACATGAATCCAGGGTCTCTCTGTGCATCCTAATCTCCGCTTCTGATAAGGACACCAGTCAGATTGGATTGGCACCCACTCAAAGGACCTTGTTTTAACGTAATCATCTACGTGAGGCTTGGTCTTCAAATAAGTCACACTTTGAAACACTGGAGGCTGGGGTGTCAACATAAATTTTGGGGGGCACAATGCAGCTCATGGCAGTCACTAAGGCATTTGTCAGAGAAAGTGGAGGCCGGAGCCCGCGGCTCACCCCCAGCACTGCCAGGGCTGAGAAGCGGCCAATGCCCAGCCTGACGCTGGACGTTCATAGAGCACTTTCTCACTCTCACCCTGTGTTTCTGATTAAAAGCATAAAAATGTTCCTTATAGAAAACCACACAGCAGCAAAGAAGAAAATAAAGATTATGCATACACTTCTTGACTCTATTATTTGCTGTTGATAATTGGGTGAATGTCTTTTCTTTGGTTCAATATTATAAATGAGGCTGTACTGCATGTATAGGTTTGTATCTTGACTTTTTAAGCTTACTATTATGTTCATGAGAATGTTCCTACAATATTAAAAGTTCTTTGTTTATATCAGTTTTAATATTTACTCTCTCCAATAATATGAAAATGGAATAATTTATTTAATATTATCCTAAGGTTAGGCATTTATATTCTCTCAAAATTAGTTCTATTATAAATAATGTTATAATGAATATCTTTGTGTATTCTCATACTTTTCTTCATTTATCACTATTTTATTTGGATAGGTTTCTAAAAGTGAGATGATTAGCCTAAAGAAAATGACTTTTTAAAAAAATTTTGAGACAGAGTCTCACTCCGTGGTGTGATCACTGCTCACTGCAGTCTCGACTTCCTGGGTTCAAGCGATCCTCCCACCCCAGCCTCCTGAGTAGCCAGGACTACAGGCATGCCACCACATCCAGCTAATTTTTTATTTTTTGTAGAGACAGGGTTTTGCCATGTTGCCTGGGCTGGTCTCCAACTCCTGGGCTAAAGGGATTCACCCACCTAGGCCTCCCAAAGTGTTGGGAGTATAGACGTGAGCCACTGTGCCCAGCCAGAATATGACTATTTTAAAGAAAATTGGTACATACTGTCAAATTATTTTTCAATTAATTATTTTCCTATCAATTAAGCTTCCCACAGGAAAAAAAAGGACTTCTCTCAGCATATGCACACCGGCTATGAGGAATAGAACTTTTAAAATTATTTGCTAATTTGATAGGTGAAACAGTATAAGATTATATTATTCTGCACATTTTGACATGGATTTAGCCATTTTGACTTATCCTTTTCTGCAAATATTTTATTCATGTCATTTGTCAAGTTTTAAAGCAATTTTACTGTTTTTATTGGTTGGTATATGTTACTTATTAAGTATTATTGAAGGTTATTTCCAGTTATTATTTTTAATTTAATTTGCTCTATAAAGTTTAAACATACAACTTTTTGTTTATAAAATAATATTTATAAATACTTCTCTTTTCATTTTCTGAGATTTTACTTGGGAAATTCTACATCTTGATTTAAGATGATTATTCTCTCACATCTGTGTCTGATTCTTGAAAGGTCTTCTTTTGATCTAGGTTTGGGATTTGAAGAATGGAATTAAATATCTATTTAATTTTATTTTCATAGAAGCTGCAAGTTTTCTCAGTGCAATTTCCTGGGTCATCCCTTGCTGGCTCTTCCGAGTGAAAGATCACCATTCTTTATGTACAAGAGTGTGGAGAGCAACCCTGTTGACAGGAAGAGCTATTCATTTTTCTGTTTATTTATGTTTCAAAATGGAGCCTGCCTCAAAGTTATTACCATGGCTATGATCACAGAATTGGAATTCTGGTGCTTCGACCTGCACTTAGGCGTGTCCATGTGGTGATTATTATGTCTCTCTTATCCCTTGGTTATCAGTTTCATTACTTTGTACGTCCTTTTCATCTTCTGTGTTGGTCGTTGTTTTCATGAGTAGCATGAACATGAAGCAGACACCCGTCTTCCCACCTTCATCCTCCAGCTTCATGGAAATGCAGATGAAGTCCCCCTCACGTGGCCAGGCAAACCATAGAGCTTTCCACACCCCTGATCCATCAAATAGTTCAAGGAAGGCATTATTTTAGACATAGAAGATGCAGCACTGAACAAAACAGGCAACAATCTCTGCTCCACAGAGCTTGATCAAAATAAATAAGCAAACTTTATTCAATGTCAGATGATGATAAGCAGGAGGGCAGCCGGACCTGCTGGCCCAGAAGAGCCAGCTGCAGGCATTTCCTCCCAGCATGGAATTCAGTGATGCCCAGAAGAGCTACCTGCAGGCATTTTCCCCCAGCATGGAATTCAGTGACGCCCAGAAGAGCCAGCTGTAGGCGTTTCCCCCTAGCATGGAATTCAGCGATGCCCAGAAGAGCCAGCTGCAGGCGTTTCCCCCCAGCATGGAATTCAGTGATGCCCGGAAGAGCCAGCTGCAGGCGTTTCCCCCCAGCATGGAATTCAGTGATGCCCGGAAGAGCCAGCTGCAGGCGTTTCCCCCCAGCGT